>NC_000009.12:63252862-63492264 GCF_000001405.40 Homo sapiens
GAATTCATAAGAAAAAAATCTGTATATTTGTGAAAAAATCAGGATCTATCATATCCCAAGTTTATTTGGTGGCATTAACATATAATAGTCCATTTGCTTACTCCCCATAAATATGTAAAAAGGCAAAGAGAAAGTAAAAAATAAAATTATTCTTCCACTCACACAAGTGGCTGAATAGGCCTAATCAATATTAACTTCATTGTTCCCCCATAATTCTATATGTTTAGCTTTTAAACATCTATCTTTTAAATATGCTATTTTTATTAATTTGAAGTTAATCAACTAAAATAGGTTCATTCCTTTCACTTTACCAGTATTACAAGTGACTGTCTAGGAGCCTGAGTTCTAATGAGGCAGCCATTCCAAACATGTACAGACAAAGCAGTGGTTTCCCTGGCAACGAGAACCATGAAAAAGCTCTTAGAATAGTTATTCCCACCCTTACACACAACTCCTTTTCATTTCAGTAAAGCTTCCTGTCAGAACACATTCATCGATGTAATTTGCCAACAAAGTTTAAGAGATTAAATCCCCCTCCCCACAAGAATGTAAAAATAAAAAAACAAAATAAAACCTACAATCAAAAATCAACAGCTATGCTGAAATTGTAGTTAGGTCATGAGGTAATGCTTCAAAGGAAGTAAAGGACATCCTAAGACTCCTGAATACAGTTAACACCACTTTGAACCTGAGATTAATTTTCATTTGATTTTTATCAGAGGATACAGAAGGTAGATGCATCAGGAGGAGGGGCAGGTGCCTTTAATCATTACCTCTAGCATTATCACTCACAACCTCAAAGCAGCTTTTATTTAATTTAGTAAAAGTTTATAAAAATTTAAATTATTGTATGCATCAAATTAAGATTTAAGATGTCCTTCATAAACATTAACCTTTTGTTGGTGATGTTTACCAAGAAAGGTAAACTCTGAAAACATGATGTCATCGTTTCAGTTGGTGGAATTAAGTAAAAGATTTTCAAATGAGGCACTTGAACCTATTTTCTATCTATGCATGCAGTAGAAAAAAGCACACAAAACAGGCAGCATTTTGTGTCATGTGGCATTTCAAACAAGAGGGAAAACACATCTGGAAATAAAAGGTGTTTAGTTGAAAGAATTGACCTTAAATAAAACAATTGCAACACTTGATTTGGGCTTCTTACTGGAAATCAAATTCTTTGAGTTTAAAATACACCTACTAAATGTAATACAAAACCAAAATAACACACTTTCAGCATTTCTCAAAATGTTAGCACCCAGCAAATGCAGAGTTTACAGTTCTAGTGATTTTCCCTGTTCTTTTCATGGAATGCATATCTAACCCGTTTTTCAGCCAGCATGCTACAGCAAAGGAAGATTCATGTTGTCCAGGGCTATTTCTTTAAAACAGTATGGAAATTACTTTTACCATAAATTAGGTTGTGCTTTAATGCTGAGAAAGGTCTATTTTGCCTTCATTTTGACCCATGACATACTTAGCCTTACAACAGCATAATGAGCATAATGAGGTCAAAACTAACACTGCAAAATAAAACACACACCCCCACACAAACACACATTATTTCTCAAGGAAGATGAAAAAAAAAAAAGGTCACATTGATTTTCTTTTTTTTAAAGCGGGACATTCTCACTACTTTTTTCACCTGAAGATTGAAAAGGAAACTCATTTCAGTTTGTAACATTGCACTGACTGTTCCAGACACAAAATGAATCAAGTCTCCTGTTGGATTATGTGGTTAGCATTTCTTCTCTTCTCTGGTGAGATAATTCGTTACTTAGGACAGCTGTGGTATAAAAACTCAAACATTGTCTTTTGCAGGATGGATTTGAAAAGTGGGCCCCCATTCTATTTTTGTTAGAAAATAATAAAATCACAAATTTTATCATGTATCAAAAATGAAAAGTGAAATATAAATGTGAAAGGTCTGATATTTGCTTAATGAATATTTACCAAATACTTAGCATTTGCATATTAAGTACAAGCCTCAGGGAAAAAAATGTAGCCGTGTTTAAATCTCAACTTTATTTCTTCCCCTTGCTTTATTTTTTGAAAAATAAGAAATATTCACATTAAAGAAAAAAGAGAACATATTTAAAAATATTTTCATCTATATTCTAGTCTAACCAGAGTATCTATAATTTATATTAGTTACCAAATGTATTAGACAAATTAAAACACAAGAGTTTTTATTATTATAATGCTTTTTTAAAATATGGACATTCACAATTTTATGCTTACAAGAGAATATATAATTCAAGTACTCCCATGAAATAAAGTACCAGTTCTCTACAATCAAACCTACAGTGCAAAACGTCAGCTGAAAATTACTTATAAAACTTTCAATTAAACTTTTACTAGTTTAGGTATTCTCTTCATAGTTGAGAAATATAATGCAAATAAAAGTTGAGTATGCCTCCCTGCCTCCAACTAGGACATAAAGTTGATCTTCCATGTCATTTTTCTTAAAAGTAACTCTAAAATAAGTTTCTTTCAAACCTTCTAAATTATTCTCTTTCCCTAATGGCTTGTTGTATTCTTCCCCAGCAGAAATGACTAAAATAGCCCTATTGCACTTAATCTAATTAGGGATTTTTGGAGAAATGGTGGTTACATAGTTCTCATTAACTGACTAAAAAACTGTACCATCTCCAGAGGTATAGATATTAAAAAGCGGGGGAGGGGGATGATTCCTTTTAAAGCTCCAGAAATGAATGTAAGTGTTCATATTCTGGTACATTAACAGTTTGTTCCAGTACATTGATATTTTATGTGGAAGCCCTACTCTGCAATTAATATGCCTGATGCAAATTGAAAAACCCATAATCCATCCTTCTCTGTTGGAATGTAAGAGTATATTATTATTGAGAAGCTACAGGATACCAGAACCATTTTTTAAACTTGACTGCTCATTACCTTAAATCTGCATATAAAACAGTTTTGCATTCAGACGAGGTAATACATACCGGAATATATTGTGGCGCATATTAAAAAAAGTGCTCCAAATAAAAACGACCTGTGGGCTTCCTTTGTAGAAGAAATTTATGCAGTTCCAGGCATTAGGGATTAATGATAGCTAAGAGCAAAAGAGAAGGAATGAGCATTAAAACATTGTGCCTAACTTTCCTGACTACCCCAAGGCTAAAAGACAAAGTGAATTGTCAAATCTCCTTAAAGGTAAGGACTATGAATTTATATTAAGTAAATATGATATTTGGGGATTGCATCTGGTTCTGTCACATTAGTATTCAGAATATTTCTTATAGCTTTAAAGGAGAAAAGACAACCTTAATGGAGGTATGAGAGAAGAAAGATTTTAAAAATCCTTTGTTTCTAACAGCTTAGAGAGCCTCTTTCCTTTGTCTTGTTTCCAAAATTATGCATACAATTCTTCACAGGACATAAAATGCTATTGTCTGCTATGACTGACAAAATCCAAGATTTTAATGGAAGTTATACTGTAACTATTTTAAAGGGAAGGGGAATCACACATCCCTAAGAGATTCAAATGTAATATATTCTCAAAAATGGAAAGATCCCAGGGATACAGATTTCGTTCTTTCACGGATTTCTCCTAAGCCTGTTCAATTCATTTGATCATCACCGCCTGTGATCTGGGTTTTATTAACATTTTAGCATTTGATTGGACCCTTCTTACCTCTCTGTCTATCCATCACTTAAGACATTTAGTGCTGCCTCCTGGCAGTTATCTGTGTAATTGTTTTATTTCACTCACTAAGTGATAAGATCCTTGAGGCAAGACGCTATGCGATATGGCCTGTATCTTCCACAATAAGTAATCACATTGATTCAAAAGATTCCCTCACAATACATTTTTATTGCAAAAATGATTTTGTATTTATCCATTTTGGAAAAGAAATTTTATCTCTTGAGCCCCTAAAAATGGAATTGTACACATTAAGACCCTTACACATATCACATAATAATCTTCAGGGTCAAACATTATAGTTTTCACCTGCTGCTATTCCTTTGCAGTAGACTAGAATAGAGAATTATATAAAACTTCTATGACTGTCAAAAAAATGATATATTTTTTGAAATCATGTAAAATCAACCTTCTTTATTTTACAGATATAGAAATTTAGATCTGTAAGGACCATCAGTGTGGTGAAGGTCACATGGTAAGTTAATTACAGAATCAAATTTTTCCCTTTCATTTCAATCTGTTTTTAAGTTTTACATGATTCCACTTTCAGGAAAAAGCAATTAAAATACAGACTGACTTTGGTAAGAGTGATATATATTTTTATGTTTCAGACCAGCATGTTGTTTCATGCTGATGTTAAAAGATAATGGTTGATATCAGATAAATACCCACACATACACACAAACACAAACTAACTTGGGGTCCAATAAAATAAGACTGGGTGGTTCACATATTTTTCCATTAGTGCAAATATTTTAAAGAGATAATTTTCTTTGATAAAATCTGTGTTCTTAAAACTGATTAACACATAGTCCTTACTAGAAACTCTTTACAAAAAAAAAAAAAACAAAAAAACAAAAATGAGAGTGCAAAAATTGAGAGAATAAGTCAAAGGAGAAAGAGAAGTTCTCCCATAACTGAAATTCATTGTACCTGTACATTAATCAAAGAACAAAATTGACTGTCATGTGATTTGACTCATGCTAAAATGTCCCTCACAATGAAAATAATCTCTTTTATTGGCCCCTCACAGTGTTTAAAATTTTTCACCATTTAAAAAAAAAATTGACTTAAAATACTTCATCTTCTGACATTTTTGTTCACAAAAATAGTAAAAGTAAAGGAAAAAGGTAGATAATATACCAACTCTGCAGGGTATTGCAGGAAGTTCAGAGAGGGAAAGAAAGAGGAACTATAAATAGTTATCATAAATTACAGCTAAATATTTTAGTTTAGCATAAAGAGGGTATGATGAATGTAAACAACATCACATATAGTTCAAATTAGAGTTGTGGAATTACTTTTCCATGACAATGTTTAAGAATTGTACAGCTTTGCTGTTATCTAGTGATGTGTCCACAACCAAATCTCACTATGAATTCCCATGTGTTGTCAGAGGGACCTGGTGGGAGGTAATTAAATCATGGGAGCAGGTCTTTCCCATGCTGTTCTCATGATAGTAAGTTTCATGTGATCTGATAATTTTATAAAGGGAAGTTTCCCTGCACAAGCTCTCTTCTCTTGTCTGCTGCCATGTGAGACATGCCTCTCGCCTTCTGCAATGATTGTGAGGCCTCCCCAGCCACATGGAACTGTAAGATCATTAAACCTCTTTCTTTTGTAAATTGCCCAGTCTTGGGTATGTCTTTATCAGCAGTATAAAAACAGACTAATACAGTAAATTGGTACCAGGAGTGGGGTGGGACTCTGCTCTAAAGATAACTGAAAATGTGGAAACAACTTTGGAACTGGATAACAGGCAGAGGTTGGAACAGTCTGGAGGGCTCAGAAAACAACAGAAAAATGTGGGAAAGTCTGGAACTCCCTAGAGACTTGTTCTATGGCTTGACCAAAATGCTGATAGTGATATGGACAATGCAATCCAGTCTGAGGTGGTCTCAGATGGACATGAGGAACTTGTAGGAAACTGGAACAAAGGTGACTCTTGTTATGTTTTAGCAAAGAGACTTGTGGCATTTTGCCCCTGCCCTAGAGATTTGTGGAACTTTGAACTTGAGAGAGATGATTTACGGTATCTGGCAAAAGAAATGTCTAAGCAGCAAAGCATTCAAGAGGTGACTTTTTAGCCGGACATGGTAGTGTGCGCCTGTAGTCTCAGCTACTCGGGAGGCCGAGACAGGAGAATTGCTTGAACCCAGGAGGGGGAGGTTGCAGTGAGTTGAGATCATACCCCACTGCACTCCAGCCTGGGTGACAGAGTGAGACTCCCAAAAAAAAAAAGATGTGACTTGTGTGGTGTTAAAAGCATTCAGTTTTAAAAGGAAAACAGATCATAAAAGTCTAGAAAATTTGCAGCCTGACAATGTGATAGAAAAGAAAATCCCATTTTCTGAGGAGAAATTCAAGCTGGCTGCAGAAATTTGCATAAGTAGCAAGGAGCTGAAAGTTAGTCACCAAGACAATGGGGAAAATGTCTACAGGGCATGTCAGAGACCTTTGTGGCAGTCCTTCTCCTCACAGGCTGGGAGGTTTTAGAGGAAAAAATGGTTTCATGAGGCAGGCTCAGGTTCCCTCTATGTGCAGTCTAGGGACCTGGTGCCCTGCATCCCAGCTGCTCTAGCCATGACTAAAAGGGGCCAAGGTACAGCTCAGGCCATGGCTTCCAAGGGTGCTAGCCCCAAGCCTTGGCAGGTTTTACATGTTGAGCCTGAGGGTACACAGAAGTCACGAATTGATTTGGCAACCTCTGCCTAGATTTCAGAGAACGTATGGAAGCACCTGGATGTTCAAGCAGAAGTTTGCTGCAGGGGCAGGGTGCTCATGGAGAACCCCTGCTAGGATATTGTGAAATGGAAATGTGGGGTGGGCACCCCCACACAGAGTCCCCACTGGGGCACTGCCTAGTGGAGATGTGAAAAGAATGCCATCATCCTTCAGACCCCAGAATGGTAGCTGTACCGACAGCTTGCACTGTGCACCTGAAAAAGCTGCAGACACTCAATGCCAGCCCATGAAAGCGGCGGGGAGGGAGGCTGTGTCCTGCAAAGACAGAGGTGCAGAGCTGTTCAAGACCATGGGAACCTCCTCTTGGATCAGTGTGACCCAAATATGAGACATGGGGTCAAAAGAGATCATTTTGGACCTTTAATATTTGACTGCCCTGCTGGATTTCAGAATTTCATGGGGCCTTTGTTTTAGCCATTGTTTTTTCCATTTGCAACAGCTGTACTTACCCAATGCCCGTACCCCCATTGTATGTAGGAAGTAACTAATTTTCTTCTTATTTTACTGACTCATAGGTGGAAGGGACTTGCCTTGTCTCTGATAAAACTTTGGACTGTGAACTTTTGAGTTAATGCTGAAATGAGTTAACACTTTGGAGGACTGTTTAAAAGGCGTGATTGGTATTGAAGTGTGTGGACATAAGATGTGGGAGGGGCCAGGGTGAAATGATAAGGTTTGGCTGTGTCCCCACCCAAATCTCATCTTGAATTGCCATGTGTTGTTTGAGGGACCCAGTGAGAGGTACTGAATCATGGGGGCAGGTCTTTCCCATGCTGCTCTGGTGACAGTGAATAAGTCTCATGAGACCTGATGGTTTTATAAAGGGGACTTTCCCTGAACAAGCTCTCTTCTCTTATTTGCTGCCATGTGAGATTTGCCTTTAAACTTCCAACACAATTGTGAGGCATCCCCAGCCACCTGGAACTGTAAGTCCATTAAACCTGCTTCCTTTGTAAATTGCCTAGTCTTGGGTATATTTTTATCAGCAGCGTGAAAACAGACTAATACAGCTAGGGTGGTTAAGATAGAGATATGGGCAAGATAGAAATCCTTAACAACAAATACATACATTAAATTGTTTCTTCCATCTAGGGTGGTTCTTTTAACCTACAGGTAATCACTTTGTGTGTTTCATTAAGGTATTTTCAAAATCTCTTTGAACAGCATAACTTTTAAAAGCAAGTACTAATACTTTATAAAAGTATTTCATAAAGTAGTTTACAGTAACTGAGGTTGATTTGTGCCATTAAGGAAAAAACTTTTACTTTTTTATTACTAAAAATGTATGTAAATCTCACTGGCACTGAATGCATTTTTCAAACAAATAAAGAGGCTTGAAATGGTGAACAGCTATTCTTTTCTGCCTACTAGGGATGAGAAAGTACAGGCTGTTTTCAAATTAAAACCGGAAGGGCCAAAGATGTAAATAAATGTGACTGATAGAGGACAGCATAAAAGAAAAAATAAGTTTTTTTTTTTTAAAGCAGGACTGTGAGAATTTTAATAGAGTCTAGATTGGTAAATAAAAAAGAATAGAAAATCCCAAAAAGTGTATATTAATGCTCAAACCAGTAAAGAAATATGAGTTACCACTTTGTGGAAAAATAACATGGGTAGATTCATATGACCCTACTGCGTGTAAGATTATTTTTAAAGAGATTAAAGCATTAAATGTAGAAAATAAAACCACAAAGGCTCTAGAAGTAAACATAGGACATTTCCTTTATAACCTTTAAGTGGTTAAGGTATAAGTAATTATAACTAAAAGTTTAGAAGCTAAAAGATTAAAAAATGGGTCTATGTGAATACAGTAACAATAACTTCATGAAAAAATATTGTAAACATTCACTTCTCAGTCTTTTGGCTAAGATCAAGTGAAATATTGTAAACAAATTGAAACTAGAAGTAATCAATTAAAGAATAATATTTACTCTTCATATAGTATAATTTCTTTACTATATGAAGTGTTTCTAGAAATTTATGAGCAAAAGACTCAAACTCAAAAGAAATATAGGCAAGTATATAAACAATTGATAGAAAGTAAATGCAGGCCGTCGCGGTGGCTCACACCTGTAATCCCAGCACTTTGGGAGGCTGAGGCGGTTGGATCACGAGGTCAGGAGATCGAGACCATCCTGGCTAAAGCGGTGAAACCCCGTCTCTACTAAAAAAAATTAACCGGGTTTTGTGGCGGGTGCCTGTAGTCCCAGCTACTCGGGAGGCTGAGGCAGGAGAATGGCGTGAACCCGGGAGGTGGAGCTTGCAGTGAGCCCAGAATGGCGTGAACCCAGAAGGTGGAGCTTGAAGTGAGCCAAGATTGTGCCACTGCACTCCAGCCTGGGCAACAGAGTGAGACTCCATCTCAAAAAAATAAATAAATAAAATAAAAATAAAAAATTAAGTAAATGCAAATGACTTTTAAGTATATAAAAGTGTATTCAAGTTCAACCATAATAAAACTACAAATAAAACTCTATCAATATTCTTTCACCTATTAGAATAGCATATTTAATAACACAAACTTCAGCAAACATATAGAGAAGTAGGTACTACCATTCATGCATCCACGATTGGAGTATAAATTAGTACATATTTATCAAATAAAAAATGCATGTGTGCATGTCCAATCAATTATACTCTAGGCAGATTATCCTAAATAACTACTTACATATAAAACGACATATATGACTATATTCATTGCAGAAAAATATATAAGAACAAGATTCTGAAAACAACAAAGTTTTTAATATAGTACGACTTAATGATGACACATCCCTTTGATGTTCTGCAACAGTAAAAATACTGAAAATTTTCTATATGTATTAACGTGGAAAGTTTTTCAAGATAAATTGCTAACGAATAAAGCAATGTGCCAAAAGGATACGTGTTATGCTGTCCAAATAAAGGAAATCAATAATGTATTTTGTTATTTCTTATATATACATAAAATACTTAAGACACCAAGAAGCTGTTGTTAAGAGGTAAGAACTGGGCAGACAATAGAAAAGGATAGAAATGTGGAATTTTCCAATTCTGTATCATGTAAATGCATCACCTGTTCAAAAAATAAAATAATGTTCACGGTTCCCTACCTTTTCTGAGAAATATCCAACTCTTTAGCCAGTAATTTATAGCCTTTCAAAATTGTTCCGGTAATATTTCATTTTTCTTGCTCATGCTAAACCACCTTCTCATCAAACTATTCAGTACCTTAAATTCTACTAAAATTTCTTTGTGGCATCACACACATACCCATTTCGATACACTCTTTTTCTATTATCACCTGTAGAAACCTACATAACTTCACAGCACATCTCAGATGCCAGCTCTTTCAAGATCTTCTCTGATAAACCCAAGGAGAAATAATTTTTCCCTCATCAAAATCCTTAGTGCACTTGGGATTACATCACATATTCTTCTTATAGGAGTGGTCTTTCTATTAGCATTGAAGGTCCTTAAGAGCAAGATTGCTTTTTAAACATCTGTATTTCTTAAAGTATTCTGTGCAAAATACTATGCTAAACCCTGTATTTACTCAAACATTTTAGCTTAATGAATTAAAATATGACTCAAAATGGAATGGTAAGTTGTTCCATCTTAATATATTAAGAAATATCACCAACAGCAACTACATCAAGAAACCAAGAAGACGACCTTTAATGGAATATTTGATGGACGCTGAAGTGAGCCTATTAACAAAAACAAACAAAAAGAATCAGGGACTACATTTGCCATTAATTCTAAAATTGTTGCCATTTAGGGCCTCACTGAAATATAGGGCCAAATAGCTGTTGCTCTACCAGTAGCAGTCCTCATATTAAATGATGAATTTGCAAGGCATGCCCCCTAGGATTTCATCTGTTCTCCTTGAGAAAATGTCAATAACTTCTATAAAGAAAGAGTGGCCCTAGTTAGAGTTTTTTAGTTCCAAGTCTATGTTTAACCCATTAAGAAATAATTCATACTTAGTATATATTTTTAAAAAACACTAAAATATAGTCTAAATTTCCCTGATTTTTTAAACTGTGTAGGAATTATATAATAAAATGTGATTACCTAAGAGAATGTTCTGGTTTTTAGGACATATACAATAAAGTACTTAGGATTAAAATAATAAGATGGCTCCAATTTGCAAATAGTATAGAAAGAAGAGAGAGAGAGAGAGAGAGCACACTACCAATATATTCAAATGTAATTTAGAAAAAAATTCTGGATAAAAGGGTATATAGGACTTTCTTCTACTATTCTTGCAACTTCTTTCTAAGTTTAAAATTATGTCAAAATGGCTGGGCGTGGTGACTCACACCTGTAATCCCACCACTTCGGGAGGCTGAGGCAGGTGGATCACCTGAGGTCAGGAGTTCGAGACCAGCCTGGCTAACATGGTGAAACCCTGTTTCTACTAAAAATACAAAAAATTAGCCTGAATTGATGGTGAGCACCTGTAATTCCAGCTACTCGGGAAGCTGAGGCAGGAGAATCGCTTGAACCCAGGTGGCGGAGGTTGCAGTGAGCCAAGATTGCGCCACTGCACTCCAGCTTGGGCAACAAGAGCAAAACTCCATCTCAAAAAAACATAGTATATAAAAATAAGAGTTACACACACACACACACGTCAATGTACAACCAGGCAAACTGAGTCTATGTTAAAATTCGGTCATCACCTGTAAACTAGTTCAACCATTGTGGAAGTCAGTGTGGCGATTCCTCAAGGATCTAGAACTAGAAATACCACTTGACCCAGCCATCCCATTACTGGGTATATACCCAAAGGATTATAAATCATGCTGCTATACAGACACATGTACATGTATGTTTATTGCAGCACTATTCACAATAGCAAAGACTTGGAACCAACCCAAATGTCCAACAATGATAGACTGGATTAAGAAAATTTGGCACATAGACACCATGGAATACTATGCAGCCATAAAAAAGGATGAGTTTATGTCCTTTGTAGGGACATGGATGAAATTGGAAATCATCATTCTCAGTAAACTATTGCAAGAACAAAAAAACAAACACCGCATATTCTCACTCATAGGTGGGAACTGAACAATGAGAACACATGGACACAGGAAGGGGAACATCACACTCTGGGGACTGTTGTGGGGTGGGGGGAGGGGGGAGGGATAGCATTAGGAGATATACCTAATGCTAAATGACAAGTTAATGGGTGCAGCACACCAGCATGGTACATGTATACATATGTAACTAACCTGCACATTGTGCACATGTACCCTAACACTTAAAGTATAATAAAAAAAAAAATCTCAGAAACTAGAGTCAGAAGAATAGCCAAAAAAAAAAAAAAAAAAAAAAAAAATTCAGTCATCACTATCTTTAATGGATGGAATGGAGTTTAGAGTAAATAGTGCAGGGAAGGTAGGGTTATGAGGTTTTAGTGTTCTCTTTCTTAATCTGCATTCTGATTACCAGATTATTGTTCACTTGATAAAATTTTATCAAATTGTGCCCTGATAATCAGAATGTAAGAATGTCACATTTTCTGTAAGATATCCTTCAATGAATTTTAACAAAAATACTATGAAAAAATAAATTTCTCTTTTTTTTACTTGATTACCCTATTATAGAATGCATATGTTTAGTGACTTTGTACAGTGATAAGAAAATACCTCAAACAGGATTTAAAAAAACGTAAACAGATGTAAATGACACTTTTCTTTATTTTTTATTTTATTTATTTATTTATTTATTTATGATAGGATCTCACTCTGTCACCCAGGCTATAGTGCAGTAGCATGATCACAGCTAATTTCAGCCTTGACCTTCTGGTCTCAAGTAATCCTCTCAAGGCAGCCTCCCATTTAGCTGGGACCGCAGACACGTGCCACTATGTCTGGCTAATTTTTTGAATTTTTGGTAGACAGGGTCTCACTTTGTTGCCTAAGGTGGTCTTGAATTGCTGGGCTCAAGCAATCCTTCAGCATCAGCCTCCCAAAGTGCTGGGATTATACGCATGAGCCACCAGGCCCAGCCACTTGTCTTTAATTGAAGTGCTATAGCCAATACCAAAGTTGCTGGCCTCCCATCCAACTTACAATTTACAGTATAGCACCTATACATTTAGTCTGCTGCTCTAAATGTCTCCCAGTAATCAAACTGTGTGTGAAATTCATAGTATAGGGCACACTATTTTTTAATCATTCTAACTACTGTAATTATGTTCTTATCTATATTCATGTCCTGAAAGTTTATGCAAGTAAAATTAGCATAATGACATTTAAGTTATTTCATGTTTATGTGCATGCATTTACTGGACATTGCTATTTTTTACAACTTTACATTTTAAATTTCTACTTTTCATCCAAGAACTCTCTCAAAATGTTTGACTTACCTTCTTTTGTTTTTACATTTTTCTGTTCTTCAATTTTTTCATTCATCCAACATATACTTAAATATCTAAGTTTTAAGGTAACTATATGTGCCGGTATATTTGCCTATAAATCATCATGCACATAGAAAACACTTTTAGAAGCTTCCTCTTTCATACCAAATTCAAACCATAAGGTCTAAAGGAAGTACTTAGAGGTTGTGGTATACACACATTTATTTTACTGAAAACTGAAAATAACGCAGACAAAAGGATGAAACTTATTGGGAATTGGTATGATACATAAGATATCTTTCACTCAGAAAAAAAGTAAGAATATACCATACTAAGTTCATTTTCTTCAAAAATTTGGATCCTTTCATTTTCTAGGGCTGCATATCCTTTTTCCTAAAGAGGAACTCCACATTTTATAAGTTGCAGTTCCCATAAAGACTAGATCTGTCCCTAGTTTTGATGAACTATACCTGGGAAACCAGAGGTATGGCAATCCTAAAACGAACATAGGAAAAGAGTTCCAATAGACACAGATTCCCTTCCCCTGGTGAAAATGAAGATAGAAACAACAACAACAAAAAGATATTATGTAATATAAAATAAAACAAATGTTCATTATATTTGAACCTGTATTCTCTTTTCTAAACTGAGTTTCAGAGGGCAAGGAACATGTCTGTCAGATACTACTTTCTATCCAGTACACATAGTAGCTGCACAATAAACATTTATGACATGAATTAATTAGCGTTTCTCTGGCCTGCCAATGCCCTGTATATAGAAAATCTGTAAATTTCCACTAACTTTAAAAATACTCATATTTTCCTGGAACAGAAAGTAAAGATTACATGGCAGACACAATTGCATCTGTCTACTAATGATTACCATGTAATCTTTACTAGATGGCCTTGTGGTTCTCAGTAAGAGTCAAGTGACAAAGGAGACAGAGGGAGCAAAGCTGAAAGACTTTAATAAACTCTCTTTGCAAATAATGTTTTTATTCAATGTCAACTTCTTATTAAAACATCCCAGGGCTTGACTCTTCTGAGTCTTTTATATACTTTTTTTCTACAACAAAGGAGAAAGCAATCACTATTGATTTGGGCACATATCAAAAAATGAAAAAAGAGAAATAAATAAACAGTTGCATTTCAATTGTGGCCACCATACAGCTAATAGTTTATCATAACTCTTAAAGGTTGGTCCCTAGGCTCTCATACAGGTTCACCCTTTGCTGACCTCTTACAATCTTTCTGTCAGCATTTTGAATGCTACTGATTCTGTGAGTAATATTTTCAACGGAGGTCAGACAGGCCAGTAAGTCCAGCGTGCCCTCTCACTTACGAATTCCCCTTCTTTTGTGGCTTTTCACCATGGGTTCACATGTCATGGACTCTACATCGCAAACTGCAGTAAGCAAATTTCAATCGTGAGTGAAAGGAGAAAAAAGCAAATCCTACTTGACTATTGCTAGCTTGTTTACACCATAGGGCTAGAGTAAGCTGAAATCGACAGAGTATAAAGAAAAGAAGGTCCTCTTGCAGTAACACACACACTCATTTTCAGACTCATAGTTTAAATGCAGTCTTTTATTTGTCACTACCACTGCATTATTATCAGAGGATTTATATGCCTAGAGCTGCCAGAAGTGTCACCAGCTCTGACAATGCCCATTTTGGAGCTTTTTCCGATGGCTTATTTTATTTATAGTCTTGATGAAACTGGGGCAGTCACAAAACTGATTAGCGATCTGGCAAACAGGGTCTGCTCTGCTAATGATCTGTGTAAATATTGTGCTGTAGAGCCTTTCTGTGACAGGTCATTGCTGCTAACAAACCGCAGAATGCAAACAGAGACCTGTGCTGCCTTCACTGCAGATGCACAGCAGCCAGCTTACACTGACAAAGCAAATGAAAATCCTCTTATTGTCGATCATCTCAAGTAAAATGGCCTAAAAATCAATTCTAGGATAGGCTTTCTTTCTTTCTCGAAGCTTTAATCTGGGGATGATGACAGTGATAATGGTATTTCATTATACACATAAAGTAAGAGAGAAAAACGCAATAAAACAAGATATAAAAGATGAATTTAAACAATGGATTGTGAAAGCCTTGCTGTTTGCTTCTGTTTTTAAAAATATTTTGCTATTTTTTCTTGGCTGCTGCCGTTGCTACAGTTGTAGTCTGCACAGAATGAAGCCTTAATCACACAGTCATGCTGAAACATGTTTACAAAGGTAAAATTAATGGGCTTATCTTAAGCAAGATGTCTTTCTATGGCATCATTAATATGCTTTAGATTTTTTAAATAAATGTGTTTTTATTCTTCCAGTACATCAGAATTGGAATTGGAGTCATGTCAAGATGTTCTCACTGGCAAAGACAGGAGGAGGTTAAAATAGCTCCTTGTAGGGCAGTAACCTCGGGAGAAAAAGAACTAATAGAAAATAAATGGCGAGTATTTTTTTTGAATCATTTGTATGATAAGCTTATAATGTACTTGTCTCAATGCAGAAAGCACAAGGAAAAAATAAATATGTCCTCATCACATTGGTAGACAAAGCACTAAGCACGTAGGTTGTCAGAAATTCGATATCCCTTTCTCTTTTCTATATCCTCTACCAAACAGAAAGTTCCACATACATCTGAGACTTCAGTGTCTATGTGACTTGAGTACAATTTCCTTTTTCATCTTTGTTTTTCCTTTACTTACTCGTTTCCCTTTATTCTTACCTGAGATATAGAGAATAAAAAATAACACTATAGAATCAACCTTTTTTTCTAGGTAATTTAGAATAAATTTTCCAGAACATAAAAAGGATAATGATGGCATTATGTAAATTTGAGACCAAAATTTTCTGAATTAAATTATTTTTACATAGATAATGGTTCACTTCTGATTAGGAACATTAAATAAAAAGTAATCTTAACAATATGACAATACAACTTAGCCTTCTTGCATTATCGTTTTTAGCCTAAATATTTAATTATTATAATTTGCACAACATCGACATTATAGTGCAATTCTTTTCTTTACAAAATAATCACAATAAAGTATTTTAATCAAGCAACTGAGCACATACAATTATTATTCTATGTCCATAAAATTTTTTTGCAGAAAACATTTATATAAGAATTTCAGTAGTCAAACATTGAGTAGCAGGAAAATACTATTAAATTTTAAAAACCAAACAAGCATTGGAAACAGAAAAATGGATACGAAGAGAAGCAAGTATTCTCCTGTATTTATAATTGTGGTACTTTACAATATATGTAATATATCTTTAGAAAGATTAATTGTCTTTT
Organism: Homo sapiens; assembly: GCF_000001405.40. Classification (NCBI taxonomy): domain Eukaryota; kingdom Metazoa; phylum Chordata; class Mammalia; order Primates; family Hominidae; genus Homo; species Homo sapiens. The sequence continues at coordinate 63,268,926 of NC_000009.12, forward strand.
ATTCTCACAGAAATTCTATGAGCCAGGCAGAGGAACTGTTTTTGTTCCCATTTTACTTCTGTAAAAACTGAGTCTCAAAATAACTGCTCCCCAGAAGTATAGAATGATTAAAGGTCAGAGACAGAGCCTGCATATTTTCATATTTGTTACACTTTTTTAGCTATTGTTGTCCAAGAGTACTCTTACTTTTGAGATACTTTCTTTATTTCACTGTTCAGAATTTTTATATTTGTATGATTTAACAAAATAATCGGTAAATTTCATTTTTGGGGATTAAAAATTAGGTTGTGGAAGCTACATTAGGTTGTGGAAGTTGTGCCCCATCTGAGACAAATCTTGGATTAATCAGTGATTGATTAAATTATTGAAAGTTTAGTTATTCAAAGAAATTGGCATAGAAGTACATTAAGCTAAGCTTTATCTGGTAAGATGGAGAACTAACATGATGTGGGCTTCTTTCTGTGACCACAACCCTGGAAATGACACAGAAATCAGCATCTAATACTAAAAGATGTGAGAAACCCTTGCAGTTACAAACTACAGTAAAGTCTGCGAGTAGAGAAAAAAATGACAGCAAAGAGCAGAAAACTGAGATGTAAGGAAACCAGAATATGCTGGGGCGGAAGTTTTTAGTGGTCATCATTCCTTTTCATTGCATTCCTGTATTTTTTTCTGCTCTTTCAATAGTTAGAGTACCCACAGTGTGCAAGGCACTCTTCTAAATACTGAGAATACACTACAGAGCCAGAAAGACAAAACTTTGACCAAATGGAGCTCCCATTCTAGCAAAACTAGAGTTGAAAAGAGACCACTGCTAACTCCTTTAAAGCCATTTTGGAGTCGGCCAGGCAGAATATGACTCAACCTAGCTTGGAAAATGAGGAAATAGTGACAAACGCAGAAAGACCATCTGAACCCTAGGCATTCTCCTCTAACCCAGCTACTCCATACAATGAGTGTTAGGATGGTGATTAAAACTGAGGGAGACCAGTCTTGGTAAACAGCACCACCCAGGACACGTGAATACACCAACTTTTATGGAGGAGGAAGGCAAACAAAGGGTGGCAGAATCCAGTTATTTCCTAAGGAGTCCTTCATTCTAAACACTTCTGGTGGGTCAATCTTGAGCCTGATTTTAGTGCCATGTATTCTTAATCAGCATAATAAATCTTACTAGGAAAAAATAGGCCTCAAAGGAATTCAATGACTCTAAAATAAAATACATGTATATCAAAGACAACCAGATTTACAAAAATTAACAATAGTTTAAAATATGTGACCATGTGTGGTGGTTTACGTCTGTAATCCCAGCACTTTGGGAGTCCAAGACAGGAGCATTGCTTGAAGCTAGGAGCTTGAGATCAGCTCGGGCAACCAAGAGAGCCCCTGTCTCTACAAAATAAATAATAATTAAAAAAAATAGCTAGGTGTGGCGGCATGCACTTGTAGTCCCAGTTACCAAGGAGGCTGAGGCAGGAGAATCTCTTGAGCCCAGGAGGTCAAGGCTGCAGTTAGCTAGGAGGCTGTCACCACTGCACTTGCTCCAGCCTGAGTAACCGAAAGACACTCTGAAGAAAAAAAAAAGTTAAAATAAATCCAAAAATATGTATAGTAAATGTTCTCAAAGACATAAGGCACAATATTTGAACCTGAAGAAGAAATTAGCAATCATAAAATATTTTTTCAGTATGAAAACCATATCTGTTGAAATGAAGGATTAAATATATGGTATAAACAGCAGAAGGGTTAAATTTGAGGAGTGCTCATTAGTGAGATGGAAGATAATGTTCAAATAATAACAAATTTTTTTTTTTAAATTTAGAAAACTAGACTTCACATGTACTGCTGATGGGAGTACAGACTGATGCAACTATCCAGAGAGCAATGTGGAGTGAAATGAAATCCAAACCTATGAACCAGCAGTCCTACTCTTGATCCACATGGCAAATAAACTTAAGTTTAAACTCATGAAAGGATACGGTATCCAGTAGAGACAATTGTTGTTGCAGGGAGTTGGAAGGAGGCAAAGAATCTATCACTGTAATACACACACACACAATTGTTTATAAAAATGGAATACAGGCCAGGTGTGGTGGCTCATGCCTATAATCACAGTGCTTTGGGAGGCCGAGGCGGGCAGATCACAAGGTTAGGAGTTTGAGACCAGCCTGTCCAATATGGTGAAACTCCATCTCTACTAAAAATACTTAGCCAGGCGTGGTGACACACGCCTGTAGTTCCAGGTACTCGGGAGGCTGAGGCAGAAGAATCGCTTGAACACGGGAGGCAGAGGTTGCAATGAGCCGAGATCACGCCACTGCACTCCAGCCTGGGCAACAGAGCGAGACTCCATCTCAAAAAAAAAAAAAAAGAAGAAGAAGTAATAGTGTGCTGTGCAGCATGAAAAAAAAATGAGGTAAAGATACACACGATAACAAGAATAGGTCTTAATAATATAGTGTTGGATTTACAAAAGTAAAAACTATATATACAACATATAACTCAAAAACAACCACAAAATTTTATAGTTTTAAAAAAATGCATATTCAAGGGTCTACCACAAACACATGAATGCAATTGAAGTAAGAGGGAGAAGCAGAAGGAAATAAAAATAGAGATTAGAGATTAGGGCAAGATAAAATAATTAGATAAAATAAACCAAGAAATTCCTATTTTATTTATCATGATAAGAATGTACTTTAAAAAGAGGATGACTACATAAAATGAGTTAGGGAGGAGTACCTCTTTTTCTATTGTTTGGAATAATTTCAGAAGGAATGATACCAGTTCCTCTTTGTACCTCTGGTAGAATTTGGCTGTGAATCCGTCTGGTCCTGGGCCTTTTTTTTTGGTTGGTAGGCTATAATTACTGCCTCAATTTCAGAACTTGTTATTGATCTATTCAGGGATTTGACTTCTTCTTGGTTTAGTCTTGGGAGAGTGGATGTGTCCAGGAATTTATAAATTTTTTCTAGATTTTCTAGTTTATTTGTGTAGAGGTTTTTATAGTATTCTCTGATGGTAGTTTGTATTTCTGGGGGATCAGTAGTGATATCCCCTTTATCATTTTTTATTGTGTCTATTTGAGTCTTCTCTCTTTTCTTCTTTATTAGTCTGGGTAGTGGTCTATCTATTTTGTTGATCTGTTCAAAAAAACCCCTCCTGGATTCATTGATTTTTTGAAGGACTTTTCATGTCTCTATCTCCTTCAGTTCTGCTCTGATTTTAGTTGTTTCTTGTCTTCTGCTAGCTTTTGAATTTGTTTGCTCTTGCTTCTCTAGTTCTTTTAATTGTGATGTTAGGGTGTCAACTTTAGATCTTTCCTGCTTTCTCCTGTGGACACTTAGTGCTATAAATTTCCCTCTAAACATTGCTTTAGCTGTGTCCCAGAGATTCTGGTATGTTGTGTCTTTGTTCTCATTGTTTTCAAAGATCTTATTTCTTTCTGCCTTAATTTCATTATTTACCCAGTAGTCACTCAGGAGCAGCTTGTTCAGTTTCCATGTAATTGTGCGGTTTTGAGTGAGTTTCTTAATCCTGAGTTCTAATTTGATTGCACTGTAGTCTGAGAGACTGTTTGTTATTATTTCCATTCTTTTGCATTTGCTGAGGAGTGTTTTACTTCCAATTATGTGGTCGATTTTAGAGTAAGTGTGATGTGGTACTGAGAAGAATGCATATTCTGTCGATTTGGGGTGGAGAGTTCTGTAAATGTCTACTAGGTATGCTTGGTCCAGAGCTGAGTTCAAGTCCTAAATATCCTTGTTAATTTTCTGTCTTCTTGATCTGTCTAATATTGACAGTGGGGTGTTAAAGTCTACCACTATTATTGTGTGGGAGTCTAAGTCTCTTTGTAGGTCTCTAAGAATTTGCTTTATCAATCTGGGTGCTCCTATATTGGGTGTATATATATATATATATATATATATATATATATATATATATAATCGTTGGCACTCCTTGTTGCATTGATCCATTTACCATTATGTAATGCCCTTCTTTGTCTTTTTTCACTTTTGTTGCTTTAAAGTCTGTTTTATCAGATACTAGGTTTGCAACCCCTGCAAGGCTACAGTAACCAAAACAGCATGGTACTGGTACCAAAATGGATATATAGACCAATGGAACAGAACAGAGGCCTCAGAAATAATGCCACACATCTACAACCATCTGATCTTTGACAAACCTGACAAAAACAAGTAATGGGAAAAGTATTCCCTATTTAATAAATGGTGCTGGGAAACTAGCTAGCCATATACAGAAAACTGAAACTGGACCCCTTCCTTAACACCTTATACAAAAATTGACTCAAGCTGCATTGAAGACTTAAACATAAGACCTAAAACATTAAAACCCTAGAAGAAAGCCTAGTCAATACCATTCAGGACATAGACATGGGCAAAGACTTCATGACTAAAACACCAAAAGCAATAACAATCAAAATTGACAAATGAGATCTGATTAAACTAAAAAGCTTCTGCACAGCAAAAGAAACTATCATCAGAGTGAACAGGCAACCTAAAGAATGGGAGAAAATTTTTGCAATCTACCCATCTGACAAAGGGCTAATATCCAGAATCTACAAGGAACTTAAACAAATTTACAAGAAGAAAAAAAAACAATCCCATCAAAAAGTGAGCGAAGCATACTAACAGACACTTCTCAAAAGAAGACATTTATGTGGCCAAAAAACACATGAAAAAAATTCAACACTGGGCTTTACAGAAATGCAAATCAAAACCACAATGAGATAAAAATGATGAATTCATGTCCTTTGTAGGGACATGGATGAAGCTGGAAACCATCATTCTCAGCAAACTATCGCAAGGACAAAAAAACAAACACTGCATGTTCTCACTCATAGGTGGGAATTGAACAATGAGAACACATGGACACAGGAAGGGGAGCATCACACACCGGGGCCTGTCGTGGGGTGGGGGGAGGGACGAGGGATAGCATTAGGAGATATACGTAATGTTAAATGATGAGTTAATGGGCGCAGCACACCAATATGGCACATGTATACATATGTAACAAACCTGCATGTTGTGCACATATACCCTAAAACTTAAAGTATAATTAAAAAAAACCACAATGAGATGCCATCTGGCATAAGCCAGTTAGAATGGATATCATTAAAAAGTTAGGAAAGAACAGATGCTGGAGAGGATGTGGAGAAATAGGAACGCTTTTACACTGTTGGTGGGAATGTATATTAGTTCAACCATTGTGGAAGACAATGTGGTGAATCCTCAAGGATCTAGAACCAGATATATCATTTGACCCAGGAATCCCTTTACCGGGTATATACCCACAGGATTATAAATCATTCTACTATAAAGACACATGCACATGTATGTTTACGCAGCAGTATTCACAATAGCAAAGACTTGGGACCAACAAAAATGCTCATCAATGACAGACTGGATAAAGAAAATGTGAAACATATACACCATGGAATACTATGCAACCATAAAAAGGATTAGTTCATGTCCTTCCTGGGGACACAGATGAAGTGGGAAACCATCATTCTCAGCAAAAATACACAGGAACAGAAAAACAAATATCGCATGTTCTCACTCATAAGTGGGAGTTGAAAAACGAGAACACATGGACACAGGCAGGGGAACATCACACACTGGGGCCTGTTGTGGGGTGGGGAGCTAAATAAATATAAATATAATTTAAATATATACATAAATATAATATAAAATGTTATGACTAAATTCTTTGTTAAATAAAAAGTGAATGAACAAGTAAACAAATGAATCAATAAAGGTAGATCAGTAAGATTGGACCTGTTACGTTTCTGATACACTTCTGTCAGCATCTATGCCAAGCTTTGCCTAATCACCTTAAGCTCCCAATGGTCCCAATTTCTTTATTCTTGACAAATGAACTCATTTCTACTTTATTGAAACCATCAGTGACCATCTATAAAGAGCTCCTTTATGTACCTATAAATCATCCTAGCTCACATTTTCCTACATTTGAAATCACCCATTCTTGAATTTTCAGTGCCCATTGTCCAGACTAACTTTTCCACTAGAACTTTAAATTCAATCAATTCCTTTTATCTCTAGCATCAAATATTCTCTATCAGCTTTAAGCTGTTAATCCTCTGTGGTTCCTCCTGTACTAATGCAGACTCATGCTAGTCCATTCCAAAAGACCTCCTTGATATGGCTACTATTACATAGTCCTTCCTTTATTAAAAATATTTCATCTCTAACTCCCTATTGTAACAATGTGTTGTTATGCTTTAAGTTTCTTCCTAAAATTTTTCATTAATAACCTACTAAGAAATAAAATATACTAACTTATAGTATTCTGTGACTAAGATATCTAAAGTTTGGTTTGATAGTCCATTTAAGGAGTAGATTTTCCCATCTCTCTCTTTGGGAAAAGGAACCTAGCCAAGCCCAGATTTGTGTGTCTATGTGAATCAGTAACACTTCAGGAAGGAAGTATGACATAGTGGTTAAGGTCACAATCTCTAAAATCAGACAAAGTATATTCAAATGCCAATCTTAGCAGTTATTAGGTATGTAAAGTTGAAGAATTTCATTACATCTTCTGATACAATTTTCTCATCTGCAAAAGTGTGTATTGGTAGTATAGGCATTATATTTTTGTGAAAATTAAATAAAACAATAAATACAAAATAATATTTTTAGTGTTAGGCTCATAGTAAAGGGTTACTATGTATTATTGTCATTTCACTGTGGCTCTTATTTCTGAAGGACAGGACAGTCTACTAAATGTATTGTAATATAATGAAAATAAGCCATGTTATTCTATTATTTTGAAAAGTATCTCTGGTTTTTCATTCATTAAAAAACATGCCTCTCTTTTGGGGACACTCCATTGTCCTTTTCTTCTAGTCACATTGAAGTCTGTTTGCCTTTGAAGGCAGCCACATTAACTCACTGTCTACAGGGAAAAATCGCACCCCTTTTTATGGGAGGAAGTACAGATTTTTGATTCCTGAGTCCTGTTAATACAAGTAGCACCTCAGACTTTACCTAGATTGATATCCCTCTTTCTCCATTTCTCAGCTTGCAAAATGGAGTGGGCAATTGTTTAAGGGGAAAAGTGTATGTGCTTTCAAATTCCAGTTCACTTCTCATTAGTGAAAACTGTGGATTGGTGAATACAATTAATCTCCTGAATTATACTTTGCAAAAACAACCAACACTTTTTCTTAGACACAATACAATGCAATTTCATACTAAAGAAAGAATGTTACCTATTAGCATAATCATGCCCATTATTTTAATAACAATAAATGGATATTCATTATCCATTTTTGTGCTGAGAATCATTTGGTGTTTTATTCCTTTCCTATAGACCTGAAGGTATCAAAATGCTACAGCAGTAGTAAATAGTAATCTTTGTTGTTAGAGAAAGAGGCAATGGTTTTGATTACATTCTGGTTTGAGGTAATCTGATTGTGATAGCATGTTTGGTGAGAAATTTGTGATCAATTTCTTTCTAACATTATTATTTACTGTAATATTTTTAAAATCTATCAACCTGTCCTTTTAAGGCTTCTATAACATGAACCTATCCTGAATATTTTTGTTTCTGTCTAATGCCTTATTTCTTTTCTTGATTTTTAACTTTCCATCTAAACCATTACTTTTTCTCAAAATAGTGTAAACCATCATCTCTATGTAAATGAGTATACTAAAAATACATCATAATACCTATCCTGAGATCCAGTCTCAAATTTCCAACTTTTTTCTGGCCATTTTCATTTTTTACTTTGTTTTATGTATAAAGAAAACAAACAAAAACTAGCAAAAACATAAAACTGGCTCCAGCTCTTATGCCAGGTGCTATGAGTAAAGGACAAGGTTCCTGACTCAAGTTTCTCCTATTTATGTCAAAGGTACTATTGTCAAACTGATCAAAAATTTGTGGTCACAGACATTGTCATTACCTTGGTTTGCCTATGCCTACTCATATGCTTAAATTCTTTTTTTCAATGATTTCTCAAATTTATTTCTACTTTCTTTACCTTCTGTGACCCTTACACTTAAAAGGTGAAAGTGGAAGACAGTCTTTTGATTTTTTTTTTTTTGAATGCACAAAATACATGTTATTCCCTGACTCTCCTTTTGATGGATAGCCCTTTTTTGAGCAATTTACAATCATTTTCTTTTTTTGATTATTTATGAATAAAGTTCAAATTCTCACATCTAATATTCTAAATCCTTCATAATTTGTCCCAACATTTACTTCTAATTGTATATTCAAATATTCTGAAACAATCACATTATTCTGTCTAATGTATGCATTCTATACTTCTGAATGTTTTCTATGCTTATCACCAAATTTGCACTTGTCTTTTGAATAATCCATAATGCATTTTTCATCTTCCCCATATTATTGAAGAGTATCACATAATAGGAAGCTCTATTAACCTTTCTTTGATCATCATAGTCCACGATGGCATCTCCCTCCTTAGAAGATCCCCAATATATATTGCATAGCACTTTTCTGAAAGTTACTTTTTTGTGTTTATGTTTCTTATGTTCAGACTTGGATATTAAGTGACCTGAAGATAAAAGATCTGTATTCTACATCTTCTGTTCACACATAGTACTTACTGAGGAACTATACACATAGCAATTCTATAAAGTAGGGAGTGTTTTCTAGAAAAGAAGTGACTATGTGTTGATACGTCTCCTTCAATTTTATTAATAAACTTTCATTTACGAATATGTATTAAAAGTGTCTTTAGGCTCTCTTTGTATGTTTGACCCATTTCGTGGTAAATGTGAACAGTGGAACAAGATAGTTGCAGTGCTAAACTTAGACTAAAGGGAAGAGGAACTCAGGTTCTAGGCCAGCCCTTTAGAGTGAACCACAAACCACTTTCACCTTCCTCCCATGGGGGCTGGGAAGGAGAGTAGAAGGGGAAGTGGCGATGAGTCCACAAAACAAGTGAATGTGCTCATGTGAAACAAGACTCATGCCCATCCATGTGCTATGCCAATGTACCAATACTCAAGACTCTGGATTCCTCTTTAGGAGAAATAAAAGGTCCTAAGATTGCTTTCAAGGTCTATTCAAGGCCATTCCCTACACCAGCCTTTTTGAAGGTGGACTGGTGTGTACAACCCTTGGTCAAAGGGATGTCTCATGAGGAGATGCTGGACAAATAGGCTGCAGTATCTTGGATGTAACAAACCCCTCATCCAGCAAGATGGAAAGAGGGGTGGAAAGAGAATGAAATTGGCTATGACCTGGGGCCTCTTTCCAATCCTCACATTCCATTGTGGACCTCTCCTGGCAGTCCAAGAATGCAGATTTCAATTTAATTTTTTAAGTTGTTATGAAGTTGTCAATGTAGGAATTTCAATACACTTTAACAGTTCTTAAGCTTGATTGATGTCTTATAAATATGTAGTCATTAATATGTGGGTCTAGATTTGCAATACTTCTGAACTTCCACAAATGTTAGGGACAGGCCTGAATAGCTAACTTTTTTCTTTTATTTCAAGTTGACTTAATATTATAAAAAACATTTTATTTTTTCCTTTAATAGAGTCAAATATACAGTTTCTGTTTTCATCCAGTAACTTTAGCAGAGACTTTTTCTCTCTGCTAGTGAAAGAGAGGACTCAGGTTTAGAGGAAATTTGCTTTTTCAGAACATTTGATCTTCGTAACACATCAAGATGTATTTAGAGAAAAGAACACACGGACTTAGTACTATTTATAAATAGCTTCTTTACCCTTACTCCTAAATTAAAACAAAACTAAAACCTAGGAAAAGCACTTGCATTATACAAAATTTATACTTTAGCTATTTCTACATTTAAAAATAAAATAATATAAATCACCAATTTTACGTTTTAAGCAAAAGTGTATTCTCAAACTTTATATTATTCAGCAATACCTATTACTCTCCAAGTATATGCATGTATCATTTCTCTCATTTAAAGTCTCTGACCACATCTAGAAAAAGTGAAAAATGGTGCAGTCATTACATTTTGGTTTTGGAACTGGGAATTTTATTTAGCACAATATAAATAATTAGGGAGTAATTCCTTTTATACTATTTTTCATCCACTTTTTTTTTTTTTTTTTTTTTTTGAGACGGAGTCTTGCTCTGTCGCCCAGGCTGGAGTGCAGTGGCGCGATCTCCGCTTACTGCAAGCTCTGCCTCCCGCGTTCACGCCATTCTCCTGCCTCAGCCTCCAGAGTAGCTGGGATTACAGGTGCCCGCCACCAGGCCTGGCTATTTTTTTGTATTTTTAGTAGAGCCGGGGTTTCACCATGTTAGCCACGATGGTCTCAATCTCCTGACCTCGTGATCCGCCCGCCTCGGCCTCCCAAAATTCTGGGATTACAGGCGTGAGCCACCGCGCCTGGCCTCTTTTTTTTTTTTTTTTTTTAACCATTTCTGATTTACTGAAACCCAGTCTGTATTTAATAAGGCTTAAACATTTGTATGTTTAATATAACAATATGTCCTCAGTGGCAGCTTGATTAGATTTGGATTTTAAAAGTCACTGTAGAAGGGAGGAAAAATATCAAAGAAGGGATACATACTGGTGACAAATACTTTTAAAATAGCATAACTCAAGTAACGCAAGTCAGTCTAGCCAGCCAAATGAAAATTATAGGTGGAAATCTCACACTGAACCTGGAGAATTTCCCGTTCCTGTTAAAGTATTTTCTTACTGATGTATTCATAAAACAATACTGTCCATTTATGTCTTTCAGAAACCATTCTATTATTTTCATTAACATACCTGTATATTAGAATAAAAACTTTACAAGGTTATGTTTTCATTTTCCACTTTTTTTTCTTGTTTCTGTATTACTTTTTATATCAGTTTAATTTTGGCATTTAACCTAGCTATCTAATACCTTGGCAGTCAACACATTTCCCACCCTTGCTCTTGAATATAATGCTGTCAGAGAGTGGGATATGAGAAAAGCAAGAGGTTTTCTAAAAGGAAAATATCTATCTATCTATCTATCTATCATCTATCTATCTATCTATCATCAGGAGGACCTAGAGACATTATAAAAGAATTAAATTCAAATTGTAAGATCATAATAAAGTTTAACACATCATGATTTATAAACTACAGATATAAACTAAGTAACTTGTTTAAAGCTCCAGGTGCTGCTTTCCATAATATTTTAAGTGAAATACTGTGTGTATAACTTAAAACCATTAGGCCATGAAGACCATGGAGAATATTTTAAGAATCAGTCACAATCTGAAGTGACATTATTGTTTTTTGTTTCAGTACACATTAGTACCAATAGTTAATTTTAATTTGTGGAATGAATCAGTAAACAATAAAAGGGTATGAAAGGGTAAAGCACAATTTAAAGTGTTTTGGAAAATGTGGTCAGAAAACAACATAAGATCAGTAGAATAATTCTAGCATATCCATCGAATAATTAATATTATCACTATAGTAAACATGATTTAGCTCACACTATTTGGCGAAAAGAAAATTCACTTGCAGTATTCTGCACATTGTGTTATTTCTGCTCAAATGACATACTTACAATAATTTGATTGAAATCATGTGACTCTCCTGAACAATCATGTTCTATCTTCTGGTTTAAGGCTATGTAGATATTAAGAGACATACAGTGATCCATCTTCTTTGTGTGGAAACGATCAAACACTACAAGTCAGTTAATGTGTTTTCAATGGTGAGGGGTTAATACCAAAAGATTTATATTAGAATTGTATAGCATCTATATTTCTAATCCTTAGTTATTTGTATGAACAATTAGAAGTCTGACCTGTTTGGAACTTATTTTGGGGTAAATAGGTTCCCAAGCCTTCTTGCAAAGGACATGCAAATAATGAAAATATGATATTAAGAACCACTCCACTGTTATTAAATGAAGATGAAAAGAATTAAATCAAAGTCTGCCATAGAATAATTTATAGATACCATATTGAACATTTTCTAAATATGCCCACATTCTTGGAGTGGCAGATAATGTGTTAACATTATAATAAGCATGAGTTAATAAACATTATGCATATTCTCTACTACAGATGAGTATACTTTTTGGCCCTTTTAATGAAGGATGGGAAATAAGCAACTCCCTGTAAGAAGAAGAACAGAAATGGATCCATTTTTGACTTGAAACTTTTATAAAAATAGCTGTATTTAATAATGTTTTACTTATCATGGGTACATTTTTTTTAACTTGTGTTCATAAGGTAGATTCATTCAGCAAAAGAGTAACCGGTACTAGAAGAGAAGTAAGAAATTCATGGCTGAGTTAATGTAGTTAAACTATATCCGTCTGAAACTCTTTCTCTCTGAGGAAGCTTTTAAAATTATTTTTTTCATTTTTCCAGACCTTTTTTCTTGATCTCTGTATTTTCCTCTAAAGCAAAGACTATCAATGACATTCTTAAACTTTGAAAGATTTAGGATGAAGGGAATATTTACTTATATTTTAGAAATAGTGCAATTTTGGAGACTGAGAAGTCTCTCAGGTTATTATCATCAAAGTAGAACTTACCAGAGATGACTTTGGCTTTCTAAAGCATCTAAAATAAGCTATAGTATGCCCATGTTCCTGCAGCATTGGACTTACATAATTTCAAATGTTAATAATACCTTTCATGGATGCCTTTACAGGTATGCATAAACAAAATATCTCATTTTTTTAAATCATTCTGCCCTCCATATGAAACTATTGGTCTATTAGATATATTTTTATTTTTTAACTGTTGATTTGAAATTATTATAGATTTACAGAAGGTTGCAAATATAGTACAGAGAGGTCTCTCATACTCTTCACCTAGTTTCCCCAGTGGTTACATTTTTTTTGTAGCTACAGTAAAACATTAAAACCAAGAAATTGACATTGAAAAAATGTGTATGCATACATCTGTCATTTTATTACATGTGTAAATTCTTGTGACCACTACCACTATCAAAATATCTAACACTTCTAGTGAAGTGTAAAAATCTTATCTCGTTGGAAGTCTCTTTACCCATCCTTGTTTATATAATTTTAAAAATTTTTCATTTAGGTATTGATAACCATTTCGATGTTACAGTTTTTGATTCAAAAGTCAAACATAATTTAGAAAACTCAAGAAGAAAAATCTGTTGTACTTATTCATATTTTTGCTCTTTCTGTTACTCTTACATTTTTCTGATGATTTCAGGCCCCTTATTCATTTTATGTTTCAAGAACTTTTTGCTTTTCTTTAGGGTAGGTCTGTTTGCAACCAATTCTTAATTTTTCTTCTTCTGAGAATTTATTTAATTCTCCTTCATTTCTAAAGGACATTTTTGCCTAATACAGAATTCTGGATTGACAGTTCTTGTTTTGCAGTACTTGAGAAATATATCACTTCCTTTTGGCCACCATTATTTCTGACAGGAAATCATTGTCATTCAAATTGTTTTTCTTCTGGAGAGATGAAGCATTGTTTTACCTCACTGTTTCCAAGATTTTTTCTTCTGCTGTTTTCTGAAATTGACCTGTTTCTTTGTTGATTTTTTTGTATCTGTCCCGTTTTAGATTTTCTCATTTCTTGAATCTGTAGTTGTATGTCTTTTGCCAAACTCGAAAACGTTTTGGACATTATTTTTTCAAATATATTTTTAGCCCAACCCACTTTTGCCTTTCCTTCTAGGACTCTGATGACATGAATAGTAGATTTTTTGCTATAGTCTTATAGGTCCTTGAGGCTCTGTTCTTTTTTTTTTTTTCATTTTCAGTCTATACTCCCTCTGGTCTTTGGATTAGTAAATTTTTAATGTCCTATTTTCAAGTTCACTTATTCTTTTCTCTATTTCCTCCATTACCCTATTGAGCCATCAAGTATTTTTTAAAGTTTCAATTATATTTTTCGGTGCCAAAATTTCTATTTGTCTCTTGGCATCTTCTATTTCTTTGTAAAGCTTTCCATTGTTTCATTTGTTCCAGCATATTCGCAATTGCTCATTAAAACATGTTTATGGTGGTGGCTTTAAAATCCTTGTGAATAAATCTAATTTATGTGTTATCACTGTGTTGGCATGTGTTATCTCATTCAAGATGAGATTTTTTTTCTGGTGCTTGATATGCTGAGTAATTTTCAACGTATCTAGGGTAATTTGGATATTATGCTATGAGGCTCTGTATTTTAACTCTTGGAAATAAACCTCCTGTGACACCACACATGGTGAAAGTGGGGGTGCCTTGTTATTGCTAGGTGGTGATAAAAATTTATCCCTGCTCAACCACCTTTGGAGAGTGGGGGATTTTTTTCTTGTTTCTGCTCCCACTATGGCCTACACTGAAGGGAAGGCAAACATCAGGAGGCCTTGGACCTTTTTACCACTAGATGATGGTGAAAGTTCCAACTTCTCACTTAGTTTACTTTGACACCTAAGGAATCTGGTGGAGAAGGACGGGGCACATTGTAACTACCTGGCAGAGAAGAAAGTTCTAGATTCCCACACGGCCTTCTCTGATATCACCCAGACATTGATAGGCGGCAGGGCCTGTTAGTTTGTGTGTGTGTTTAAATTACACATTACCAATAGTATCACTTTGCATAAACCTATACTAAACTAAAAGCACGGACCCCACAGAAGATATGTAATTAAAGTTATCTTGTAGTATGCAGGTCTTTTTCACAGATGCATTCAGTGTGTGGTTTAAAAGGAAGTTAAAAGTTTAGTTCTAGTTACCATGCTAGAAGAACTTAATAGGTAAAGGATGACATCATCAAAGGCAGTGAAAGTCCTCTTTAATGTCTCAAGGCTTTTCATTGTGTATCACGAAATTTTGGTTATCTGTTTCTTTTCAGTAAATATTTAGTCTATTTTTCTAAGTTTTATATATTAGGATTTTCATTTTCATTAATCCTTAGTGTTTGTACTACTGATATTTGCACATACAGTATGAGAACATACATTTCAATTGATCATTTTTAAAAAATTTATTTGAGATATATCAAAAGTTCTATACCATATAAAGGAAAGTTATTCTACTATTCTAAAGCAGCTCATAAAATACAATGTACAAATAGGACAAAATACATGCAAGAAGCGGGAGAAATGTTCCTAAGCAGCTCCACTGATACAGTGGAGATATAATCTCTCCTCTCTATTGAATGAATTTGCTGAGGGTCGGTGCATATAGTAGTCAATGGAATACAAACCAATAAAAATATGATAGATAAATAGAATGAAAAGTATCCAAGGGTCAAGTGCTAAATCTGTTCTGCTGATTCCAGCTGGTATTTCCTTTTCTTCTTTAACCCACATGAAGACACTCTACTAAACAGTCATGTATAACTCAGGCATACTGGTTTTCATTTGTAATTTTCATTTTATTGTACTTTCAATTTTCAGGTTTTGTCCATCTTTCTTCCCCTTGGCCCTTCCATTACTTCTGCTACTTGATGAATTCTGTCTTAAACAGTAGCTAGAATATAAACATTTAATAAAATATTAACCTGATTGCTTGCCCTCCCCATAAACAGTAAAATGACATACATGAACAAATGACAAATACAATATTTTATGTTGTGTTTATTTCTACCTTTCTCCAAGGCTTCTTTTAATCTTTATTAAAGTTTATTATAGCAAACTACTATCAAATATTTCCATGCATTTAACTGGTTATTGTAACATCAACACAAGAGAGCAAATGAAACTTGTGAAGCTTATACTTTCTATTGCTCTAAGGTGTCTATGCAGATCATTATGTATTCTTCACCACAGGTCAGTTGCTTAGCGACCAGAGAAGTAGAGAACTACTAATTGAAAGTATTCTGTATTGCTGGCAAGGCTTGCTGCAGGACGTTGAACTTGGAAACAGCAGAGACTGTGTCAGATAAAAATGTTGCAGAGGATGAAAGAAAAATAGTTGCAGCATTATCATACTAGGAATGGTTATTATTTACTTTATGGTAAATTCTGCAAAATGCTTTGCTGTGCTTCTGTTTTATAAGATATTAAAATTGATTTTACTATTAAGGATCATTTACACAATCAGATTAAAAATCAGAGTTGTGGCATCTATTTTTAAAAAGTAAAACAGAACACAAAGGAGAAAAAGAAGAGGAGGACAAAAGGGAAGAAACAGAAGCAACAGCACTAAGTTAGATCCAGGTCCCTAAAGATAAGTAACAATATCTGTATGAACTTTTCTGATTGCTTATTTTATTTTGTAATGAAAACAAAGAAAGAGGATGAGGAGGAAGATGAGGATGAGGAGACTGAGGAGGAAGGCAAGGAGAGTAAGGAAGAGGAGCAAGAGGTAAAGGAGAAGAAAAGAAAAAAGAGAGAGAGAAGATTATTAAAAATCAAACTAAATACATATTGGAAAAACAATTGAAAAACAAACCAAAAGTAGCAACACTAACAGAGCAATAGTATAAACAAATTTATTCAAAGCATTAATTTTATATTAGTCTGTATCAGGCTTTCTAACCTGTACATTATATAAAATTAGGATTATTTTCTCTCTTCTTTCCACGTAATGTACAATTCATGTATCCATCAAAAATAGATGAGTGGTCATTGTGTGACATCTTTCACTTAATAGAAAAGACTAGGTCAGAAAAGAGAAAATGTCCTTCACAAGACCAAGACTAAGTTGGCTCAATTTTCCTGATAGCTTATTTGCTACAAGAATTCTGATATAATTCTGTATTTACAGGCTCATTCTCTCTCTCACACAATCCACAGGCATACAAAGTGTGTGTGTGTGTGTGTGTGTGCACATGCGTTTGACAAAGAGAGAGAGAAAAAGACTTGAATAACTGTTTCTTATGAGAATTCATTTGTGGTAATGGTTGCTACTTGTATTTCTATAAAGATTACTCCTAGTAATGATTGAAAAACAGGACATATGTTAATTAAATGTTCAGTGACTTTATAGTTAAATATACATATAATGCACATTCCAAGTTTTAAAAAAAATAACAATCAATAAATAGCTAAATGTTTTAAATCATAACTGGTCAGAATTTAGTTGTTAATATTCAGATACCATTTCAGTATCGTGTAGAGTCATTATGAATATCATTTGTCTGCAGTACTCTGAAGATAAAGGTGGTAAAACATGTGTTAGTCAATGGTCTACCTGTTATACAGCCTTTTAAAACAAATCCTTGGCATGAGATTGTCATTTGTCTGTTTCTCATAAAAGCTGAGTGTAGAACATCCTAAAAATCCAGTTCAGCTTTTTTATTCTTGTTACATTTCTGCAGAATTTTAATATAACTTTCCTTTTGTGTATTTATGCCTACTGTTTCTATTTACTTACGGGTGGCCTGAATTTTTTATCCAGAGATAAAGTTAATGCAAGAAAGAATTTAAAAATGTATGGTAGATTATCAAAATTCTTAACTTAAAAAAAGGTCAAATCCACCTTTGCTACAGCACACAACCTAATCTTATATCTGTTCATCTTTTTTGTCTTTGTTTTAAAAACACATACTTGATAATCATATTAGATGGTTACAGCTTTCTATTGCTGCATAATAAACCAGTCTAAACATAGCAGCTTAAAACAGCTAAGTAGCACAGATGGACCTGCTCATGATTCTTCAATCTGGGCTGAACTCAGCTGGGTGGCTCATCTCTTCCCTAGATGGTGTCTTCTGCTGGACTATTTAATATGTTTGTATTTAGAGGCAGCTCCATAGGGACTGGAGGATCCTAGCTGGCCCCATTCATATGTTGTGCTGGAATGACTAGAAACTAACTGGGTCTTCCTCTCTATCTTCCCAGTCTTTCATTCCTCCTGGTCTTTTTCATCATAAGGTGTCTCATCCACAAGGACGCTAACCTAGACATCTTTGCACAGTGGCTCAAGGTAAAAGACAGAGTAAACAAAAGCTATAAAGCTTCCTTAAGCCTAGGACTGAAACTTATACAGTGTCTCTTTAGCTGCATTCTCATGGCTCAACTAATTCACAAGGCTAATCTATTGTCTGGTTGGGAGGATAATGCAAGGACATGAAATCAAAGGACATCCATAATTCATTGGGGACTGTTTGGTAAGAATATGAGTTAAGGCTTAAATTTGTTCGAACACAACTGGTTCTAAAGCATCACATTGTTGTATTAGGTTTCCAGGGTTGTCATAACAAATTACAACAAACTTGATGACTTAAAGCAACAGAAATTGATTCTCTCACAGGTCTGGAGGCCAGAAGACAAATGAATGTGTTGGCAGTATTGGTTTCCACTGGAGACCCAGAAAAAACCCATTCCATGCTGTCAGCAATTCTTAGCGGTTTTTGTCTTTCCAGTCTCTCTGACTCTGTCTTCACATGCCTCCCCGCTTTTTCTGTGTCTTTCTGTTATTCTATCTCTTATAAGGACACTCATTAGATTTAGAATTTATTGTAATAGAGGATGAGCACACTTTATTACCTTATTACATCTTCAAAGATGCTTATTACGATTGAGGTCAGACTGTGAGATTCTGGGTGGACAAACCTTTTGGGCAAACACCGTTCAACTCTTACGATTTTCTATCAAAATGTATAATTTTCTCCCATACTTTTTCAGTAATCTCCACCATAAAGAACTTGGATTTAGAACACTTGGATTCAGTAATCTCCATCATAAAGAACTTGGATTTAGAACACTTTTTTTCCACATGTATTTAAGCAATATTTCTCAAAGTATATTCCTGAGAAAAGTATTTCAGTTATTCTATGAGTAAAAAGTTTCTTGGTCATGCAATTTTGGAAATTACTGCTTACTATTAACACCTCCTGGATATTTGCTTTGTGCATTAATTTATTAATGAGAAATCATATAGGAAAATATGCTAAAATTTTAGGAAGCACATGTTTTTCCCAAACACCAATAAACACTAAATATCACCAATTTTATTCAAATGATACCTATCAACACCTTACAGACAAAGGGTTATGTGTACCAAAGGTCCTGATTTGACCTATTGTGTTGACTACATGATATCTGTTTCAAAAATATAAACAAAATTACCATGAGTATTACTAAACATTTTAGTAATCTGTGCCCTTGCAATTCAGCAAGCCATTTCAACTACCTGGAATTTTCTTTCTCCTTTTTATGGATAACTCCTACTGGTCCTTTAGATATGAGATTAGAGGTTATTTTCCAAAGAAAGCTTTTCTTCACTCCCCAAAGATTCAGTTAGTTGTTCTTCCAGTGATTTTTATAGCTCTCTGTTCTTGGTGGTAATATATCACTGAAACACTCTACTGTAATTACCTTGGTTTTTGTTCTTTATTTAGTGTTCAACCATATGCTTGCTGAAGTTTAGGATGTTATTCGTCATTGATTTTTAAGACACAACAGATATTTAATCAATTCTTATTAAATGAATAGATGAGAAAATTTGACATTGGGTAGAAATCCTTTAAAATATTTTGCATGGAAACCACTTTTTGCTTTCAAAGTAATGTAATTAAAGACTTTTAGTTCCCACAGTTTGCAACAATAATCTTAGGAACTTAACTATTTGTTTTGTGAATATCTAGCACTAAACAATGAGCTAGAAATTTGATAAAACAGTTCAAATAATTTTTAAATCTCTTTGACTCAACTAGTCATGACTGAATTCATTTATACCATTAGGATATTAACACGTCTTTTAAAAAACAGTGTTAAATGGAGCTGGTCAAGCTATGCATTTTAAGAAGAAAAAGTACTCTCTTTTTAATAGGCTCTGCATAAGTAAGGCTATCCTCTTTTTCATAGTTTTTCAGAAACAATAACTTTGTCATTTTCTATACTTATTGATAATTTCCCCAACATATTAACAATTAAGAAATAAAGTTATGGCAGCCTAATTAGTCGAGTCAATACAGGAAGTAAATTGTTAAGACAGTGGGCATACCATCTTAGTTAGTAAGATATGGACATTCAACCACTCTCTTTCCCTACCCTAAGACACACACACTGTCAGAGAAAATGTTATGATGTGACTGAGAACTTTATGCTCAAAGCTTTCCAAAATTTCATATATAAATATTGTACTTTTATCAATATAAGATTTCACACTGTAAGAAAACATTGGCATAGGAATCATTCTCTTTTACACAGTTTGAAAATGAATTTTAATGACACTCATATCTGATAAATAATATAATGTCATGGAGTAAAAGTTATTTTCTTGATATAAATATTTTATCATTTGAGTATATTCTCCCTGAAATCTAGGTGTCAGTTTAACAAAATGCATTTCTCACTTCACTGAATATGACTCCAGGATAAATAAAAAAGAACATTCATATTCAAAAAAAGTAATTTATTTACCTAGTTTATCCCAAGATTTATACTGTCAATGCCTTCATTACAAATTAAGGGCTAAAATATATAGTAAGTTCCTGAAGCTCTACCAAATGTTATCTATACTAAGTAGAACTAAATTAAATCATTGTGTTAACTTTTTATTCCTATTAAAGGATTTAGTCTTCTTCTAGTTTAGCTATAATAACAAAAGCAAATGTACATCCCTGGTTTCTTGCCAATTATAGCTTGGTCACACCTGCCTAAGTAGTGTTTTATAATAAATACATGGTAAGTAAATTAGTATCCAACCCTCAGGCCTACATGGAATAAATTTGGTGGGGTACTTCTCCCTTGGGAAAAAAAATGTTGTTAGCATTTTTTGTTTGCTAGTATCCTTTAGACCTACTACCTATAAAAACCCCTCTAAATGAAGACTCTGGCAGCATTTCAATAAGCTAACTTCCATAGGTTTCTTCAGTTCATGGGGGTATTTTCCTCCTTTAATTTGCCAGCAGAGATCTGACATGAAAAAGTTCAGGTGCTGTTTTATAATATAAGAAAACATATACATGAGACTCCTTGTTCCTTGTCATAATCACATGTACAGTGCTTTAATTTCAACAAATCATATAGAAAAAAGAAGGTTGGTTTAAGTCATCATCACAAATAAAAAAGCCCATAAACCTACACCTATATTGTGGTCTTGTAATTCACCACTTGTAAGCTTGTAAAACCTAAAACTTAATATGCCTACAAATTTTGAATTTTTTAGAATATACTCAATTTGCTTCTACTTCTTCCATTGGGGTTCATGGCTATCTTACATTGTAAGACAGTTAGTAGACCCAGCAGAAATGACTTCAAAATATTTCTGGTTTCTGTGAAAGTTTGAAAATCTGTTGACTCCCTGGTTGTTCTGTTTGGAAGCCTTTTACGTGTTGCTTTCCCTTTCTTATTTCTCCTTACACACATACAAGCTCTTTTCTTGCCTATTGTGTGTACTTGGCTGATCTTCTTGGCACAGTGCCCAGTTGGTTTAATGTGTGCTTATTATTGTCTATAGCATTCCTGATTCTGTTTTGGAGATAGGTATTCTATGAATTATTAATGATTATTATCATCCTTTAGAATCAACTTTGCTTTTGGAATTTAGAAACAAAAGATGAACATTGAGCCCTATGGGTAATCACCAGCAATATCAAGGCCATGTCCAATGCTTGACTGTAAGGGAAAGGAATAGTGAATATACTGAAGTGAACAAAACAGGATTACTCCTATAAACAGATAAAATTAACAGAAGAAAACTTAAAGTTCAAAATGTATTACTTGAAAAAATGCTCGTAATATTATTTTACCATACCCATTTTACCATTTAAATATTACCAGTAGTTTTTTTCCTCAATATCCATTGATAAGCTTATTCTTTAAAAACAGAAGTGGGGAAAGTGCTAGCTTTTTTGCTTCTTATTCACAGGAACTTGTGCACCTGATGTAGTATAGCACATCCTCAAACATCTAATAGGTCACTTCTGAATTTTTCTCTGAACTTTGAATAAGATAAAAGTAATTTGAATTTAGCTATCATTTCAAAGAAGAAAAAAGTTGCATTTGCAAATTATTTACACAAGCACAAATTTTTAGAGAAAGAAATACTAGAGAAAGAAAAACATAGAGGAAAATAGGTGGTGAAAAAATTCTTTGGAAGTGCAAAAGAAAGAAAACATTTATTGGCAATGACACATGATTATTAATCCCCATGTCTAAGTAAATTTGGGGTCTTTACCCTTGCTATAGTTTGGACATGGGTTATTCTCTCCAAAATTCATGTCGAAATTTAATTTCCCATGTAAGGTGTTAGGAGATCGTTCTTTGAAGAGGTGATTAGGTCATTAAGACAAATTAATAACTTTCTGGTGAAACTGGGTTATTTTTCATGATAATGGATTAGTTCTCATAAGAGCCGGTCATTCTAAAGAAAGTTGCCTCTTTTATAAAGCAATGATTTGCCTGATTTCCATTTTGTTTCTCTGCCTTGCTGTGACATAGCATGTGGCTCTCATCAGAAGCTCAACAGATGCCAATGCCATAGTCTTGGACTTTCCAGCCACCAGAACCATAAGCTAAATAAACCTTTTTTTCTTTATAAATTACCCAGTCTCAGGTGTTGTTACAGCAGCACAACACAGACCAAGACAACATTACACCTGTAATACGTAATATTTTGAAATTAGATTTTAGCTTAGGAACAATACATACCCAATAAAGTGGAGCTCAGAAGACATCACTTAAGAATTGTTAAATAAGTGCCATCTTTTTGTTTTTATACTGAAAAACAAATGTATCGATTCTCAATTATTTTCTCCCTAATGTAACAATAATAACATAATATTGTATTTTCCAAAACCATTCCTCCTTTCTCTCAATTGTATGTATTTTTCCTTTTTTCTTTCTCCTTTTTCTTTTTGGAGTATGATAAATATTTTTAAATCTATCCTCCTGAAATTGCATCTAGGATTTGGATATATTTTGCTATAAATCTTTGCTTCCTTGGAATAAAAATATTCTCTACATTTTTATTATTCTAATGTTGATTCAGCTTTGGAGTTAATTTATATGCAAAGCAAATAATTTACCCAAACTTGTAAAGGATATGCATTATCAGAACACAACACCTGCAGGATTTCACATCACGACTATCTGTTCCATTACTTCCTCCATGTTAATGAATTCAAGTCTTGATTTTCTCCAAAGAAAATGGGGCAATGAAAATTGCATTTCCTAAAATTCTCCTTGAATTATGTTTTAACATTTCAAGTGTGTTAATGTAATGCTTTAGAAGCTAAAGGGAATGATTATATAGGAAGCTAAAGTCATCTATGTCTATCCTCGGGATTGATTAAGCTTGCTATTTATACATGTTTCCCCCACAACATTGCTGTGTTGGAATTTATCAGGATAGGAACCATCTAAATTGAAAATGCCCCTTCGTATATTTTTATCACAGTGAAAGTCAAAGCCTAGAATAACAGAAAGGCACAAAATTAATATCATCAGGAAACAATTTACTCAGCTAATTAGCATAACATTCTCATATAAAAAGACAGATGGATTAAGGGATCAGGTCATTCATAGCCTGCAGCAAACTGCTTCAGTCTTTAATCCCCTGCTGTTACCTATCAAATGGTACTCTTTTTATGGATTTGGACAGATCCCTGGGAAGATTTAGATTCTCCCATTGGACTGATTCACCTTGTTCCTTTAACTTTTTATTGATGATATATTTCATTATTTCCTGACTAAAACAACAGTAAGAACTCTAAATTAGTTAGCAGCTAAAGAATTGAACTAAAGGCGTATCTCCACATTTCTCATATAGTAGCTTCTACCACACACACACACACACACACACACACACACACACACACACGATGCCCTGCAGTGCTAACAAATAGGCTCCAGCTTGAAGACAACCATAGAAGAGTTATATATATATATATCCTACTTCAATAAAAATTGGGATTTCATGCTACATACGCAACATTCAAGACAATTAGGAATAGCACAGTAACAGCCAGTAGTAACTATGAAAAATATCAAATTCTTTACATGGAAGTAGTCAATCAGCATAGATTATAGATTTCCATGAGTCCTTTAAAAATGTTTCCAAAAATAATGTCTAAGAAAACTATTAGTGAAGATGTTTGATCTATTGTATAGAAACCAAAACCAACAAATGAAAGAAAAGGCCTCTGGGAAAAAAAAAATTATTTTAAAGTTTTAGGCTACAGGGAGATAATTTATTTCCCTTTGACTATTGTATTAGCTTTCTAGGGCTGCCATAACAAAGTATCACAATATAGGTGGCTTAAAAAAAAAAAACAAACATTTGTTGTCTCACAGCTCTGTAAGCTAGAAGCCTGAAATCAAGGTGTTGGCAAGATTGGTTCCTTCTGAAAAGTTCTGACTTAAAGTCCGTTCCACGTGTGTCTTCTAGTTTCTGGTGGTTGCCAGCAATTTTTGGTGTTCCTTGACTTGTGCATGCATCACCCCACTGTCTGCCTCTGTCATTACATGGCCTTCTTCCTTATATTTCTTTATGTCTCTCTGTGTCCATATTTTCTTTCTTTATAAAGAAACCAGTCATTGAATTAGGGCCCATCCCATTTCAATATGACCCTGTTTCAAAATAACATCTGCAATAACCTATTTCCAAATAAGGTCACATTCACAAGTATTGGGATTAGTATTTCATTTTGGAGACTCGATTCAACACACAATGACTATAAACAATCAGAATGTTAGTTTATTAATTTATAACAAGAACTATGTTATATAAAATAAAATTCTTACTTCAGCATAAACAGTACATACTTTCCACCCAAACGCACATCTGTATGGGAAAACAAAATGTAGTCACATGATAGCTGGGTATGTATTAGATCAGAAAAATAAAGTTCAATGATTAGAATATTTAACACCATCAAGCTAATATAAATGTGCACATGCATTTATTTTTATTGTAGGAAGGCTTACCAACTTAACTGGCAATTTCACTTGCCCAGACTTCCTGCCTCAGGAATTGGACTTCCACTTAGGTGGAAAAGAGATTTATGCCTTAAAGATTCATCTGTAGCTCAGTTTCCATAGGCAACTAATTCTCCTTTCATTGACAGACTCTTTCTATAGCTATGTTAATAAATTCAGTTCCAACATAGTAAAATCCTCTGACTTTACCCCCCTTAGGTTAGTTTACAGTGCTTCAGAAGGCATTCTTTCTTCTCTTAGTTTTATATATTTATAAAGGGTTATATAAAACTAAGAGGGTTGTATTTTTGTAGCCATCTTTCTGATTATCCCCATGTACTGAGAATATGTGTGTGTGTGTGTATTGATACATTTTATTTAGATGTGTGTGTGTGTATATATATATATATATGCAAGACTATATGTATATAGTCTTGTCCTATTTGGAGGCCCATTAAAGTATTTTTTCTTCCCATTCTTTTACTTCAACTATGATATACAATTAATTCTGTTATACACACACACATACACATACATATACACATACATATATATGTACGTGTGTGTATACATATGTTTTAATAATCAAAGTTACAATTTATTTTGAACATATTATT
Source organism: Homo sapiens (assembly GCF_000001405.40). Taxonomy (NCBI): domain Eukaryota; kingdom Metazoa; phylum Chordata; class Mammalia; order Primates; family Hominidae; genus Homo; species Homo sapiens. The sequence goes on from NC_000009.12 coordinate 63,294,318, forward strand.
TGCCAGAATTTATATGGCATACTTTGAATTCACTAACCTATTTAATCTTTAATATCTAAATGGGATAATTATTATTATTTATTTTTCAAAGATGGAGTAACAAAGGCTTCTGTTACCCCTCAATGTTGCCCATTCTCTACAGACTGTATAATAGAAGTTAAAATTATTTTTGCCCAACATCAAATATCTTGCATCATACTGCATTCCTTTCAGCAACCTGCATATTTCAGCATCCTGCAATTTCCCTATAACCTGGAAATTTTGAACCTCCATGTCTTCGTGTGTAATATTTTCTGCATGAAAAATGTGTCATTTCAACTTATCTAACTCTTGCTTACTATCTAAGGTAAGGTAGAAGTGCCAACTTTTTCAAGGTTTTAGATAAAAGGTGAAAATAATAGTCTCTTGGTCCACACTCACATAGCCCTTTGTTTATATTAAACACTATATTATATTATGCTATATTAATAGTCAGCTGTTTATTCATCTCCTTCAGCAGACTCTAAAGGCCATTAGGGACTTGCTAATTCATTTACTAATTAATTAAAGAAATTTGAGGAGAATATCAAGAATAACCCTCTACTTGTTCCCGGCCACCATTCATCACTCACTTTCTTAATTGTTCATTCACAGTGTACATATACGGTGATGTCAGAAACGTTACACCATACTTCCATGAGAAACAACTTTATTAACTGGAGCACTGTGCTTGTATACACTTCCTTTCACCTTTAATTTTACAGTCTCCTCTCATTTCTGAAATTACTTATTTCAACGCATTTTTTCCCACCCATCTCAGTGAGGTTGTTTCATATATTTTCAATACAGTTATAATATTTTGTCACACTCTGCATTCCATCTTGCAATCCCTCTACTTCCTAAAGGATAGTTTTTTTTAAAGTTATATAAATTAATGTTTCCTCCTCAAGCTCAAAAACTCTTATGGATTTTGAGAAATGCATAATGTTATGTCCACCATTACAATATCATATAAAATAGTTTCAGTACAGTAAAAAATTTGTTTTCATGTTTCACATATTTAACCCTACTTCCTCTCCCCTCACCTCTGGAAGCACTAATCTTTTATACTATATTGTTTTGCCTTTTTTACCATGTCATATATTTAGCAATATATAATACGAGGCATTTGCTGACCAATTTCTTTCACAGAGCAATAAATATTGAATATTCATGTATTTATTCCTGTAGATTTATATTTATTTCTTTTTTCTGGATGTACCAGTATATCAATTCACTTACTTAAGGTTTAAGGCCATGTAGGTTGCTGTCCATTTTTGATAATTATAAAAAAGAACTCTGATAAACATTCACATTTTTATGTGATATAAATTGTCACATCATTGGGATAAATACCTAGAAGAATGATAGCTGAAGTACGTGGTGAGACGATATTTAGATTTGTAAGAAACTGCCAATCTGTCTTCCAGCGTGCAGTACCATTTTTAAAATTCCCTTCAGCAAACAGCTACTATTGCTCTACATTTTCACCAGAATTTGTAATACTTCGGTTCATGGATTTAAGCCATTTTAACTAATGTGTGGTAGTATCACAATTGTTTTAATTTGTGTTTCTCTAAAGAAAAAAAATACTGAGCATATTTTTATATGCCAGTTGCCATGGGTATTTCGGGGGCAGGGGTGAGGTGTCTTTTCAGATTCTATGCACATTTGTAATTGGCTTGTTTGCTTTCTTATTATTCAGTTTTCAGAGTTATTTGTATGTTTAGATACCAATACTTTATTAGATATATGGTTTACAGATATTTTCTTCTAGTTTGTGGCTTGTCTTTTAACTCTCTGGAGTCTTTCACAGAGCAGAAAATTCCATTTTAAATTTAACAAACTCTAACATCATTTTTTCTTTTGTAGCTAGAACTTTTCGTATTAATATTATATCTAAAAATCCACTATCAAACCTAATGTCACTCATTACATGTAAAGCATACTTTCTTTTTCAACTATTCTAGTGGTTCCCCAGAGTATCCAATACACATTTGTTACTAATCTAAGATCACCTTCAAATAGCACTCCACCAGTTCACATATAGTGCAGGTACCTTAATAAGAAGTTACAGCGTGCTGGCAGCCCTTGCTCGCTCTCCGTGTCTCCTCGGCCTGGACGTCCACTCTGGCCACGCTTGAGGAGCCCTTCGCCCCACCGCTGCACTGTGGGAGCCCGTCTGTGGGCTGGCCAAGGCCGGAGCATGCTCCCTCTGCTTGCGGGGAGGTGTGGAGGGAGAGGCACAGGCGGGAACTGAGGCTGCGCGCGGCACACGCGGGGGCGGCCCTGCACTCAGAGCGGTCAGGCTGGCGCCACAGGCCCTGGGCAGTGAGGGGCTTAGCACCCAGGGCCAGCCGCTGCGGAGTATGCGCTGAGTTCCGCATCACTGCCAGCCCGCCCGCTCTAGGCTCGAATTCTTGCCAGGCCTCAGCCGCCTCGCTGTGGGGCAGGGCCCGGGACCTGCAGCCCGCCATGCCCGAGCCTTTCCCCGCCCGCGCCTTCCCCCGTGGGCTCCCAGCGGCCAGCGGGAGTCTCCCCAACGGCACTGCCCCCTGCTTCGTGGCGCCTGGTCCCATCAACCACCCAAGGGCTGACTAGTGCAGGCACCTGGCGTGGGACTGGCGGGCAGCTCCCCCAGCGGCCCCAGCGCGGGATCTGCTAGGCAAGCCAGCTGGGCTCCCCAGTGAGGTGGGGTCTTGGAGAACTTTTGTGTCTAGCTGGAGGATTGTATATGCGCCAAACAGCACTCTGTGTCTAGCTCAAGGTTTGTAAACGCACCAATCAGCACCCTGTCAAAACAGGCCAATCAGCTCTCTGCAAAATGGACCAATCAGCAGGATGTGGGTGGGGTCAGGTGAGGGAATACAAGCAGGCTGCCACAAGGGACAGTGATAACCGGCTTGGGTCCGTTTCCGTGGTGTGGAGGGTTTGTGTTTTTGCTGTTTGCAGTAAATCTTGCTGCACACTCTTTGGGTCCACACTGCCTTTATGAGCTGTGACAACCACCGGGAAGGTCTGCAGCTTCACTCCTGAGGCCGGTGAGACCAGGAACCCACTGAGAGGAATGAATAACTCCAGACGTGCTGCCTTAAGAGCTGTAACACTCACCGCGAAGGTCTGCAGCTTCACTCCTGAAGCCAGCAAGACCACAAACCCACCAGAAGGAAGAAACTCCGAACACGTCTGAACGTCAGAACAAATTCCGGACACACCATCTTTAAGAACTGTAACACTCACCACTAGGGTCTGCAGCTTCATTCTTGAAGTCAGTGAGACCAAGAACCCACCAATTCTGGACACGTTAATAGAATAGTCCCAGTTCATCCTTCATATCTTTTGTAACATAACCATCAGGCATTTCACTTACCCACATGCTGTAATTGCCCAAAACATTTACTAATATTACTTTAAACAAACATGTAGTTTAAAAAGATTTACAATAAGAAAAATAAAACATTTTTTTTTCCTTTTTCAACATACTTGCTTTCTTATTGTAAATACAGGTTTCTGATCTATATCACTCTTCTCCTCCATGAATAACCTCTTTTAACACATTTGCAGGAAAGTTTTCTGGCAATATATTCCGTTAGTGTTTTATTGTCTGGTAAATTCTGATTTCCCCTCTGCTTTTGAAGTATAATTTTGCTAGATGTAGAATTCTAAGTTGGTGCATTTATTCCTAAACATTTCCCGCAACTCTCTTCTTTCTTGCCTGGTTTCTTACTGGAAGTGGGCTGAAATCCTTGCTCTTTTTTCTCTACAAGGAATGTAGTTTTCATTCCAGATTCTGTCAAGATTTTCTCTTTGTCTATTTATTGATTTATTTTATTTTATTTTATTCTACATATAGGTAATGCTATGTCTGGTGCTGTATTTTTGTTGTTTGTCATGAATTGTATTCTCTGAGCTTCCTGGACCGGTTGTTTGTTTCATGTCATTATGCTTTAAAATTTCTTGACCATTACTCATTTAGATAGATTCTCCTCATTTCTCTCTTTCTTGTCTTTCTGCTATTCCAGTTTCCCATTTTGTACAACTTTAGAAACTGCCCAGCGGGTCTTTGATGTCCTTCACTTTTTTTTTCCGTTTATTTTTTCTTGGCACTTTGTTTTAAAATGTATTTTTGACCTATCTTTAGTTTCACCAATTCTTTCCCCAAACATGTCTGGTCTACTAATGAAACCATTGAAAGCATTTTAAAAAAATCTATTGGCGTTATTTTAATTTCTAGCCTTTTATTTTGGTTCTTTGTTAGAATTTTCATCTCTCTGCTTATACTAATCATCTTTTATTGAATATTTTCTACATTTTCCACTAGTGTCCTTAACATCTTAATCATAGTTATGTAAATTTCTTGATTGCTATTTCCAAAATATGCATCATCATCACTGAGTCTTGTTCTGATGATCATCCTGTCTCTTCAGATTGTTAATTTTTTTCTTGCCTTTTACCATGTTTTGTAATTTTGTTGCCATTGTTGAGAGCCAGACATGTGGTATCCATAATAGATATTGAGATAAATTGATGCTGAGATAAATTGATACTGAGATAAAGTTAATTGAGGATATATGTTAATCTGTCTTGGAGTTGAACTGCATTTAATATTTGTTATAGCTCAAGTTTCTGAAGGTTTCAAATTCCTCTAGTGTCCTTGTTTTTGTCTCCTCCCTTAACTTTAGGTTTCCTTAAGTACTCATCTTCAAACAGTGTCTGTTTCTTATAGCTCTTTTGTCTGTCTCCTTATATTGGAGTCATGTTGGTTTAAATTTTATGGTATGAGCAGAGAAATATGTTCTACAGTGCTCTGATTGAATATCCGCCTTTCAGTGGGCCTATGTCTTAGGTTATGACTTTTACGAGTGTTTTGCCAGTAGTTTATCTTTTGTCCCTATTACAGGACTGCCAGATTCATATGCCCACTGAGCAGCAATAGACCAATACACTGAGACATCATAATTTGCAGCAGAAAAAGAGTTTAATAATCACAATGCCATTGGGCAAAGAGATGAAGGAATCCTCAAGCTTCACATCTGTCTGCTTGAGGGGTTCTGGGCCAGGGTTTTTAAGGGGATTGTGGCGGGTGAGGTTCTGGAGAATTGGGGTTGTCAATTGCTCAGGTCAAGGAAGATTAAATCATCATGATGTGAAAACTGCATTCTTCTGTGAGTCGGCTCCTTGCTGGGACCTTCAGATCAACTGGCATCAACAATTTTATCAGTATGCGTAACATAAAGGAGAAACTCAAACAGAAAGCATATCATCTCATGTGCCTTAGATCTTATCTATAGAAAAGAAAAGGAACACAGTCTTGTGACAAGGGCTACACTATCTTGGGGGAGTAAGAAGTAACTAGCTACAAGGAAGTAGGCCAAATTGGGAAGTGGATTTCATGATTGCCACTGATTATTCTGCAAGCCTAGTTGAATTTTATTTTCTCCCTTAATTGGTTTATAAACTTTTCTTTGGGACAGTTTCATCCTTTATCCCCTTTAGATGAGAAAAGAAGGTTAAATGAGGAGGTGCCAAGATGGCCAATTAGAAGCAGCTGTGGTCTGTGACTCCCATCTAGAAGAACAAAAATGGCGAGTGAATTCTGCACCTTCATCTGAGGTATCCAGATTCTCTCACTGGGACTGACAAGGTGATTGGCCTGACCCACAGGGAGCAAGGAAAAGCAGGGTGGAGCAATGCCTCACTTGGGAGCTGCATGGGGCAAGGGGCACTCCCACCCCCAGTCAAGGGAGGCAGTGAGTGATTGTGCTCCCTTTCCTGAGGAACCATGCTTTTTCCATGGATCTGTGCAACTCACAGATCAAGAGATCCCCTTGTGAGTCCACACCACCAGGGCCTTGGGTGCCAAGCACAGAGCTGTGCAGACTCTCATCACCGCTCAGGCTGTGGCCAGTGACAGCAGACTGGAGACTGTCTAAGATGACTGAGTTCCCAGGGGAAGGGGTGGTTGCTATCACTGTGGCATCAGTTGGCTGTTTTCCCCTGGTGGTGCTGGGGAGACAGGGAGGTTTAGACCGGGAGCACAGCAGCTGTGGCAGATCATGGCCAGACTGCTTTTTTAGGTGGAACCTGGATCCATCCCTACTCATTGGGTGGGGCCCCCTTGTGGGAATTTCACCAACTCCAGCCAGAGGTTTATGGACAGAACTCTGATCTTCCTGGGCAGAACTCCTGTGGGGAGGGACAGCCACAGTCTCTGCGGTTCAGCAGACTTAGTCTTTCCTGCCTGCTGGCTCTGAAGGGTCTGGACATTCTGGACAAGGGAGATTCCCTCCAGTGCAGTGCACCCTCTCTGCCAAGGGGCAGCCAGAGTGCTTTGTTAAGTGGTCCCCGATCCTGTACATACTCCCTAACTGATTGAGACCACCAACAGGGGTCTCCAGGCACCTTATACAGGAGTGTTCCTGCTGGCATCACATCAGTGCCCCTCTGGGATGGAGCTCAAAAAAGAAGGAGCAGGCAGCCATCCTTGCTGTTCTGCAGCTTCCACTGGTGACACCTCCAGGTAGGGGAGGGACCAAGTGAATAGGGTCTGGAGTGGACCCCCAGCAAACTGCGGCAGCCCTAAGGAAGAGGGGTCTGACTGTTGAAAGAAAAACAAACAAACAGAAAACAACAACAACAAAAACATCCACAAAAATGGCCCCACAAAAACCCCTTCCAAAGATCAGCAGCCTCAAAGATCGAAGATAGATAAGCTCATGAAGATGAGAAAGAATCAATGCAAAAATGCTGAAAACTCAAAAAGCCAGAATGCCTCTTCTCCTCCAAATGATTGCAACACCTCTCCAGCAAGGGCACAGAACTGGGTGGAGGCTTGAGGTGGATGAACTGATAGAAGTATTCTTCAGAAGGTGGGTAATAACAAATTTTGCTGAGCTAAAGTATATTCTAAAACAATTCAAAGACGCTAATAACCATGCAAACATTATAGGAACTGTAAACCAGAATAACCAGTTTATAGAGGAACATAAATGACCTGATGGACCTGAAAAACACAACACCAGAACTTCACAATGCAACCACAAGCATAAATAACTGAATAGACCAAGCAGAGGAAAGAATCTCAGAGCTCAAAGACTATCTTGCTGGAATAAGACAGGCAGATAAGATTAGAGAAAAAACTGAAAAGGAATGAAAAATAATCAGAGAACTATGGAATTATGTAAAAAGACCAAACCTACAACTGATTGGGGTACCTGAAAGAAATGAGGAGAATGAAACCAAGTTGGAAAACATACTTCAGGAAATCATTCAGGAGAATTTCCCCAACCCAGCAAGACAGGCCAACATTCAAATTCAGGAAATTCAGAGGACTTCAGTAAGATCCATGAGAAGATCAACCCAAAACACATAATTGTCAGTATCTCCAAGGTCAAAATGAAGGAAAATTGTTAAGAGCCACGTCACCTAGAAAAGGAAGTCCATCAGAATAACAGTGGACTCCTCAGCAGAAACCCCATAAGCCAGAAGAAATTGGGGGCTAATATTCAACAGTCTTTTTTTTTTATACTTTAAGTTTTAGGGTACATGTGCACATTGTTCAGGTTAGTTACATATGTATACATGTGCCATGCTGGTGCGCTGCACCCACTAACTCATCATCTAGCATTAGGTATATCTCCCAATGCTATCCCTCCCCCCTCCCCCCACCCCACAACAGTCCCCAGAGTGTGATATTGCCCTTCCTGTGTCCATGTGATCTCATTGTTCAATTCCCACCTATGAGTGAGAATATGCAGTGTTTGGTTTTTTGTTCTTGCGATAGTTTACTGAGAATGATGATTTCCAATTTCATCCATGTCCCTACAAAGGACATGAACTCATCATTTTTTATGGCTGCATAGTATTCCATGGTGTATATGTGCCACATTTTCTGAATCCAGTCTATCATTGTTGGACATTTGAGTTGGTTCCAAGTCTTTGCTATTGTGAATAATGCCGCAATAAACATACGTGTGCATGTGTCTTTATAGCAGCATGATTTATAGTCCTTTGGGTATATACCCAGTAATGGAATGGCTGGGTCAAATGGTATTTCCACTTCTAGATCCCTGAGGAATGGCCACACTGACTTCCACAATGGTTGAACTAGTTTACAGTCCCACCAACAGTGTAAAAGTGTTCCTATTTCTCCACATCCTCTCCAGCACCTGTTGTTTCCTGACTTTTTAATGATTGCCATTCTAACTGGTGTGAGATGGTATCTCATTGTGGTTTTGATTTGCATTTCTCTGATGGCCAGTGATGATGAGCATTTTTTCATGTGTTTTTTGGCTGCATAAATGTCTTCTTTTGAGAAGTGTCTGTTCATGTCCTCCGCCCACTTTTTGATGGGGTTGTTTGTTTTTTTCTTGTAAATTTGTTTGAGTTCATTGTAGATTCTGGATATTAGCCCTTTGTCAGATGAGTAGGTTGCGAAAATTTTCTCCCATTTTGTAGGTAGCCTGTTCACTCTGATGGTAGTTTCTTTTGCTGTGCAGAAGCTCTTTAGTTTAATTAGATCCCATTTGTCAATTTTGTCTTTTGTTTCCATTGCTTTAACTCATTTTATGAGGCCAGCATCATTCTGATACCAAAGCCAGGCAGAGACACAACAAAAAAAGAGAATTTTAGACCAATATCCCTGATGAACATTGATGCAAAAATCCTCAATAAAATACTGGCAAAACGAATCCAGCAGCACATCAAAAAGCTTATCCACCATGATCAAGTGGGCTTCATCCCTGGGATGCAAGGCTGGTTCAATATATGCAAATCAATAAATGTAATCCAGCATATAAACAGAGCCAAAGACAAAAACCACATGATTATCTCAATAGATGCAGAAAAAGCCTTTGACAAAATTCAACAACCCTTCATGCTAAAAACTTTCAATAAATTAGGTATTGATGGGATGAATTTCAAAATAATAAGAGCTATCTATGACAAACCCACAGCCAATATCATACTGAATGGGCAAAAACTGGAAGCATTCCCTTTGAAAACTGGCACAAGACAGGGATGCCCTCTCTCACCACTCCTATTCAACATAGTTTTGGAAGTTCTGGCCAGGGCAATCAGGCAGGAGAAGGAAATAAAGGATATTCAATTAGGAAAAGAGGAAGTCAAATTGTCTCTGTTTGCAGACGACATGATTGTATATCTAGAAAACCCCATTGTCTCAGCCCAAAATCTCCTTAAGCTGATGAGCAACTTCAGCAAAGTCTCAGGATACAAAATCAATGTACAAAAATCACAAGCATTCTTATACACCAAAAAGAGACAAACAGAGAGCCAAATCATGAGTGAACTCCCATTCACAATTGCTTCAAAGAGAATAAAATACCTAGGAATCCAACTTACAAGGGATGTGAAGGACCTCTTCAAGGAGAACTACAAACTACTGCTCAAAGAAATAAAAGAGGATACAAACAAATGGAAGAACATTCCATGCTCATGGGTAGGAAGAATCAATCTCGTGAAAATGGCCATACTGCCCAAGGTAATTTACAGATTCAATGCCATCCCCATCAAGCTACCAATGACTTTCTTCACAGAATTGGAAAAAACTACTTTAAAGTTCATATGGAACCAAAAAAGAGCCCGCATCGCCAAGTCAATCCTAAGCCAAAAGAACAAAGCTGGAGGCATCACGCTACCTGACTTCAAACTATACTAGAAGGCTACAGTAACCAAAACAGCATGGTACTGGTACCAAAACAGAGATATAGATCAATGGAACAGAACAGAGCCCTCAGAAATAACGCCACATATCTACAACTATCTGATCTTTGACAAACCTGACAAAAACAAGCAATGGGGAAAGGATTCCCTATTTAATAAATGGTGCTGGGAAAACTGGCTAGCCATATGTAGAAAGCTGAAACTGGATCCCTTCCTTACACCTTATACAAAAATCAATTCAAGATGGATTAAAGAGTTAAACGTTAGACCTAAAACCATAAAAACCCTAGAAGAAAACCTAGGCATTACCATTCAGGACATAGGCATGGGCAAGGACTTCATGTCAACAGTCTTAAAGAAAAGAATTTCCAGCTCAGAATTTCATATCTGGCCAAACTAAGCTTCATGAGCAAAGAAGAAATAAAATCCTTCTCAGACAAGCAAATACTGAGGGAATTCATCACAACCAAGACTGCCTTGCAAGAGCTCCTAAAGGAAGCACTGAATATGGAAGGGAAAAACCATTACCGGCCACTACAAAAACACAGTAAAGTACACAGACCAATAATATTATGAAGCAACAACATTAACAAGTCTGCAAAATAACCAGATAGCATCATAATCACAGGACCAAATTCACACATAAGAATATTAACCTTAAATGTAAATGGACTGAATGTCCCAATTAAAAGACAAAGACTGGCAAACTGGATAGTCAAGACCCACCAGTGTGCTGTATTCAGGTGAACCATCTCATATGCAAAGACACACATAGGCTCAAAATAAAGAGATGGAGGAAAATTTACCAAGCAAACGGAAAGCAGGAAAAGGAGGGGTTGCAATTCTAGTGTTTGAGAAAACAGGCTTTAAATCAACAAAGATAAAAAAAGACAAAGAAGGGAATTACATAATGGTTAAGTATTCAGTTCATCAAGAAGAGGTAACTATCCTAAATACATATGCACCCAATTCTAGAGGACCCAGATTCATAAAACAAGTTCCTAGAGACCTACAAAGACATTTAGACTCTCACATAATAATAGTGGGAGACTTTAACACCCCACTGTCAATATTAGACAAATTATCAAGACAGAAAGTTAACAAGGATATTCAGGACTCAAACAGCTGTAGATCAAGTGGACCTGATAAGTATCTACAGAACTCTCCATTCAAAAACAACAGAATATACATTCATCTTGGAGCTACATGGCACTTACTCTAAAATCGATCACATAATTGGAAGTAAAACACTCCTCTGCAAATGCAAAATAACTAAAATCTTGATAGTCTCTCAGACCACAGTACAATCAAATTAGAACTCAAAATTAAGAAACTCACTCAAAACCACACAACTACATAGAAATGTAACATCCTGCTTCTGAATGACTACTGAGTAAAAAATGAAATTAAGGCAGAAGTCAAGAAGTTATTTGAAACTAATGAGAACAAAGAGACAATGTCCCAGAATCTCTGGGATACAGCTAAAACAGCATTGAGGAAATGTATAGCACTAAATATCCACATCAGAAATATCTCAAGTCAACATCCTAACATCACAGTTTAAAGAACTAGAGAACCAAGAACAAACAAACCCCAAAGCTAGCAGAAGGCAAGAAATAAGTAAGATCAGAGCAAAACTAAAGGAGATTGAGACAGGAAAAACCCTTCAAAAAATCAACAAATCCAGGAACTGTTTTTTTGAAAAAAATTAACAAAATAGACTTTTAGCTACACTAATAAGAAAAGAGAGAAGATCAAATAGACACAATAAAAAATGATAAAGGGGATAGGAACACTGAGTTTACAGAAATACAAACAACCATCAGAGAATACTATAAACACCTCTATGCAAATAAATTAGAAAATCTAGAAGAAATGGATAAATTCCTGGACACATAAACTCCCAAGATTGAACCAGGAAGAAGTTGAATCCCTGAATAGACCAATAACAAGTTCTGAAATTAAGGCAGTAATATATAGCCTACCAACCAATGAAAGACCAGGACCAGATGGAATTATGGTGGAATTCTACCAGATGTACAAAGAGGAGCCAGTGCTATTTCTTCTGAAACTATTCCAAATGATTGAAGAGGAGAGACTCCTCCCTAATTCATGTTATGAGGCCAGCATCATCCTGATACCAAAGCCTGGGAGAGATACAACAAAACAAGACAACTTCAGGCCAATATCCCTGATGAACATCGATGCAAAAATCCTCAATAAAATACTGGCAAGCCAAATCCAGCAGCACATCCAAAAGCTTATCCACCACAATCAAGTTGGCTTCATCCCCGGGATACAAGGCTGTTTCAACATATGCAAATCAATAAATGTAATCCATTACATAAACAGAACTAAAGATAAAAACCTCATAATTATCTCAATAGATGCAGAAAAGGCCTTTCAACAACACTTCATGTTAAAATTCAACATCCCTTCATTTTAAAAACTCTCAATAAACTAGGTATTGAAGGACCATACCTCAAAATATTAAGAGCCATTTATGACAAACTAACAACCCATATCATACTGAATGGGAAAAAGCTGTGAGCATTTTCATTGAAAAGAGGCACATGACAAGGATGCTCTTTCTTACCACTCCTATTCAACATATTATTGGAAGTTCTGGCCAGAACAATTAAGCAAGAGAAAGAAACAAATGGTATTCAAATAGGAAGAGAGGAAGCCAAATTGTCTCTGCAGATGACATGATCCTTTATCTAGAAAACCCCATTGTCTCAACCCCATTGTCAGCAAAATCTCAGGATAAAAAATCAATGTGCGAAAATCACAAGGATTCCTGCACACTAACAACAGACAAGCAGAGAGCCAAATCATGAAAGAACTCCAATTCCACAATTGTTACAGAGAATAAAATACCTAGGAATACAGCTAAGAAGGGAAGTGATAGAAAGAACCAATATGATTAAAATGGCCATACTACCCAAAGTAATTTATAGATTCAATGCTATTCCCCTTATACTAACATTGACATTTTTCACAGAATTAGAATAATCTGTTTTAAAATTCATATGGACAAAAAAGAGTCTGTAGAGCCAAGATAATATTAAGCAAAAATAGCAAAGCTGGGGGGATCATGCTACCTTACTTCAAACTACACTACAAGGCTACCAAACCAGCATGTAAACAAAACAGCATAGTGGTGGTGCAAAAACAGACTCATAGACCAATAGAACAGAATTGAGAACTCAGAAATAAGACCACACAGCTACAACCATCTGATCTTCAACAAACCTGACAAACACAAGTAATGGGGAAAGGATTTTCTATTTAATTAATGGTGCTGGAAGAACTATGGAAGAACTTTAGCCATATGCAGAAAATTGAAACTGGACCCCCTTCCTTACACGTTATACAAAAATTAGCTCAAGATAGGTTAAAGACTTAAGTGTAAAATCCAAAACTATAAAAACCCTAGAAGAAAATCTAGGCAATACCATTCAGGACATAGGCATAGGCAAAGATTTCATGACAAAAATGCCAAAAACAATAGCAACAAAAGCAGAAATTAACAAATGGGGTCTAATTAAACTAAAGAGCTTCTGCTCAGCAAAAGAAACTATCATCACAGTGAACAGACAACCTACAGAATGGGAGAAAAATTTGCTATTTATCCATCCGACAAAGGTCTAATATCCAGAATTTACAGGGAACTTAAACAAATTTACAAGAAAAAAACAGACAATCCTATTAAACAGTGGGCAAAGGACATGAACAGGCACTTCTCAAAAGAAGACATTTATGTGGCCAACAAACATGCAAAAAAAAAGTTCAACATCACTAATCATTAGAGAAATGCAAATCAAAACCACAATGAGATACCATCTCACACTAGTCAGAATGGTGATTATTAAAAAGTCAAGAAACAACTGATACTGTTGAGGCTGCAGAGAAATAGGAATGCTTTTACACTGTTGGTAGGAATGTAAATTAGTTCAACTATTGTGGAAGACTGTGGCAATTCCTCGAAGTCCTAGAACCAGAAATACCATTTGACCCAGCAATCCCATTACTAGGTATGTACCCAAAGGAATATAAATCATTTTATTATAAAGATACATGCATGTGTGTGTTCATTGCAGCACTATTCACAATAGCTAATACATGAAATCAACCCAAATGCCCATCAATGATAGACTGGGTAAATAAAATGTGGTACATATACAACATGGAATACTATGCAGCCATAAAAGGAAATGAGATCAAGTCCTTTGCAGGGACATGGATGGAGCTGAAAGCCATTATCCTCAGCAAACTAATGCAGGAACAGAAAACCTTGAAATATGAGCTATAATGAGGGGCACTAGAGGTACTTGGCTTTAAAAAGACATAGGTGCAGTGACATGATGTTAGTTACATAGCCTTTGAAGTCATGTTGTGTGAAAGAGCAGTTGGATATTGACGTTGGCTACCAAAACCAATGGGTAGGCATTTAGATTTTGGTTCACTAGAAAACCTGAACTATCTATCGATTAAGCTCTCAAAAACTAAATAGACTGCTGCCTCCTAAATAAAATATGTCTCCCACTGTGGAAATGTCATTGATTTTCAATTTGTATAGCTTTTATTATTATTATTATTGTAAGGCCAGGAATGACAACTTCTGAGCCCTTCACATGTTGGTGATAAATCCAAAAGTCCTGTAATGTATTTGTTTTCTCATTTTTTAAAACCAAATATTTGAAGCTATTTTATTAAGGGTTTCCTTTTCCTCAAAAAGTAAATGCATTAAATATAATCTAGATATTCTACACTCATGAGAAAGATATTTCATTGTATATAACCAGAGCTATAGGCCTACAAACATTTGGACTTTATCAGAGGTAAATAATAAGAGATAATACTATTCGTTAAAATTAAAGTATAAATTTAGATCATTATTTTTAATTGGTTATTTTTTAAAGCTGACATAACTTTAATTTACAATGTAAACTCAGGAGTGAAAGAGCATTAAGTAACTCATGATCTGTAAAGAAAATTTCAAAATTTAAGGTAAGTAATGAGATTTCCCCATATTTCTGTGTTTAATTCATCAATGTTTTTAAAATACTTAAACCAGCTAAGAAGTGTGTTCAGGTTTCTATTTATTTTAAAAGTGACTTACGTATTTTTCTCACAAGGGAGGATGATTGTAGAGGAGTTTAGAGCCTGCATCGTGGTTCCAAGTTAGCATCACCATTCCTGGTCCTTCCATCTTTCTGCTTAGTCATATTTAACTTGTGTTTATTTCTTCATGATCAGAATATGTGTCTTTCTCAACTATCATATGTATGTTCTAGGTAGAAAGGAGAAAAACAAGAATTTATGTTGTTCTGTCAAATTATAGAAAGTTTATTTGATAATAAATCAACTGTTAAAAAGTACCCCTTAAAAGTATAGTAAGTATACAATATTAAAAGAAAGCATGGGACTTTGCACAATTGTGAAATCTATTGAGAATTTTGTAAGTTTTTAAATTTTGATCTGTGCTGTCATTTATTAATTCAGTCAAAATTTGCTTCAAAAACACATAGTTGTCAGAATATGTAAGTGCCTTAGAAGAGTGCAATCTATAAGTAAAATAATTCTGAATATTCATCTGAAATAGTTTGAAAAGGTTTTGAAAATCTACTGTCTCTCTTATTTCTTGTAATCAACATATTTCTCAATAGGAAAATTCACCATTTGCCATCAAAATGTATTGTCTGAAACTTCCACTGGAACCTTCATATGGCAAAATATTTAGGCATTCTGAGGAGATGCAAAGTTTGCTAAGCAGAATAAATGTGTTTTAATATTTAATAATTATAAATGATATTTGGAAAATTATAAAGATGTTCTTAGTTCAATTAATAGAGTAAGATTTATATATCTATTAAGAGTGCTGGGCCAGACAGGGTGGCTCACGCCTGTAACCCCAGCACTTTGGAAGCCCGAGGCGGGAGGATCACCTGAGGTCAGGAGTTTGAGACCAGCCTGGCCAACATGGTGAAACCCCATCTCTACTAAAAATACAAAAATTAGCAGGGCATGGTGGTGCTTGCCTGTAATCCCAGCTACTGAGGAGGCTAAGGCAGGAGAATTGCTTAAACTCGGGACATTTCAATGAGCTGAGATCTAGCCACTGCATTCCAGCCTGGGCAACACAGTGAAACTCCGTCTCAAAACAAAACAAAAAAAAACAAAAGTGCAGGCAACACATTATAATCAATATTAAAAGTTTTTATGTTGAAAGATGGATAAGAATTAAAACTTTGATTTTTCAACTGAGATATTTAGTTGAGATATTTGAAATTACTGGAAAGCAAAAGGAAATTTTAATGTACTGCGGAGTAGCCTAGGGTAGTATGTGTATGTATTTCTACTAAATGCAAAAGAAAGTACCAGATAAAAATGCAATAGGCTTCTACTTCTAGTTCAGGATGGGAAAAGATGGGGAAGACCAAAAAAGATCTGCATAATGCACAAATCCATGTGATTTCTGAAGGGAGTGGACACGATCAGTCTTGATAAACTGATAACTAGTTAGTGGATCTGCAGGTTTCATCTGTGGTATTTTCTTTTAGATGATTTGTGTAGTGACTAAAAAACAGTCAATACATTTAAATAAACTGCACATTGTGCACATGTACTCTAAAACTTAAAGTATAATAAAAAATAATACAATAAATAAATAAACTTATTTTCTGGTTTAGTAATTGAGGTTGGCCAATGTCTATTATTAATTGTTAACTATTTCCTAATCAATAATCTGTCTTATATTAAACTGTACATACACATTACAAGAAATTTGAGTTACACTCACACATAACTGAATAACATATTTAATGCTTATATAGGCATGCATATAATGTTAAAATCTAGATATAAAAATAAGAAAATGAAACCATAATTTTTAAGTAATGGAACTTGTTCCAAAAAATCAAATGTGGTTATGCATTGGTATGACAATTCTGAATCCTGCCCTCAGGCAGCATCTGAACACTGTTTTATTAGCTATCAATAAATTGTCTGCACTGCAGGCCGATGATGGTTTAAGGACAGCAGTGTTAATAATAATGTTCAAAGTGTCAGTCTGGAGGGGAGGCAATAATTGACTGTATGAGACTATTAAGCTATAAAAACAATGTTTTATTTTGAGCATCAAAATATGATAGACAGAGCTTCAAATGCTCTTGGTGAAGTCATTATTAACACATACAAAACTGATTTTCATTCAACATTTACTGTAGAGAAAATTATATTCCATCAGGCTTTAAAATTGAGAAGAAAACAGAAAGAGTAAGTCTTAAATGCCTTTCTTCCTCACCTTCCTCCTTCACCTAGTTTGCCTGCGGACCTACACTGTTACATTCCCACATACCTCCTGTGTGTATTTCTTTGCAGATCATTTACCTTACATTTCTACATTTCCCCTTAATTTTTTCCTCATCAATAGATGAGAAAAAAAATTTGTTAAATCATGGTAGATGAATATGGACCAGATCATCCCATGAACTACGTTCAATCATTGGTTTTACCTTTCAAAAAATTCTGAATGAAATATGTAATAATTTAATATTCTAAAACTTTATTTTTTCAGGAATATTTACATATATTCACCCTTCCTTCTAAAACAGTGGCCAGAGCAGTTAGAAAACAAAAGCATGAGAAACAGTAACTCTTACAGTTGTATTATGCCTGTATGCCTCCCCAGTTCTGCAAAGATTATGAGGATTTTTTTAGGTCTGTACATAGTTTTAAAATATCCTAAAACAATCCACATAAATAAACTCATTACCATAATAATCTGCAAGATAGACATTGTCATCCTCAAGTAATATCAAATAAATCTTATTTGCCTGCAAGATCTGAATCTGAAAATCCCAAAGCTCAAGTTTACCTAGCTAATAGGTAGTAAGACTGGGGCCTCAATCTGGTTTATCTAATTCTGAAAAGTGTTTTGCTATAAAAGCACTATAGGAAATAAAACATTAGACTTTATACCTTTAGATAATAAGAATATTTATGTCATTGAACCTGAAAAGATACTGTTTAACTTTCATGTTCTACTTGTCATTTTTCTTTTCTGCTTTTATATGTAATTTAGGTAATAGATACCCAGGAATCAACTTAAATTCCCATCAGTGGTAGACTGGAAAAAGAAAGTACGGTACATATACACCATGAATTACTATGCAGCCATAAAAAAGAATGAGATCTGTCCTTTGC
The DNA here is from genome assembly GCF_000001405.40 of Homo sapiens. Lineage (NCBI taxonomy): Eukaryota > Metazoa > Chordata > Mammalia > Primates > Hominidae > Homo > Homo sapiens. The sequence goes on from NC_000009.12 coordinate 63,312,228, forward strand.
GGCAACATGGATGGAGCTTGGAGGCCATTATCCTTAGCAAAGTAACACAGGATCAGAAAACCCAATACTCCCTATTTTCACTTATCACTGGGAGCTAAATAATGAGAACACATTGACAGAAAGAGCAGCACAATAGACACTAGGTTGTGCTTGAGGGAGGAGGATGAGAGATGGGTGAGGTTCAGGGAAAAAAAAATTGTTGGGTACTATGCTTACTACTCAGGTGACAAAATAATCTGTACATCAAACCCCTGAGTCACGAATTTACCTAAAGAACAAACCTCCACACGTTCCCATGAACCTAAAAGTTAAAATATTTAAAATAATAATAATAATTTAAAAATGTGAAATGTTGTGATAATTACTAAAATGTCAAATAGAGACACAAGGTGAGCACGTTGTTGGAAAAATAGAATGAATAGACTTGCTTGATGCAAGATTGCCACAAACCTTCAATTTGTGAAAAATGTGTTATTTGTGAAGAGCTATAAAGTGAAGCACACGCAAAAAAAGTGAGTTTGATTAATGCAATTCATTGTTGCTGAAAGATACCTTGAAATATGAGCTATAATGAGGGGCACTAGAGGTACTTGGCTTTAAAAAGACACAGGTGCAGTGGCATGATGTTAGTTACATAGCCTTTGAAGCCATGTTGTATGAAAGAGCAGTTGGATATTGACGTTGGCTACGAAAACCAATGGGTAGGCATTTAGATTTTGGTTCAGTAGAAAATCTGAACCATCTATCGATTAAGCTCTCAAAAACTAAATAGACTGCTGCCTCCTAAATAAAATATGTCTCCCACCATGGAAATGTCAAGCTAGGGTCACAATTCAAGTAATGTAAATATGAATCTAATGACTTCCAAGATGCTTTTCCAACTTAAAGTGTTAGACAAGTACCTTTTAAAACAGTATACCATTTGAATTACCTGCAACCATTTTAATATTTCTGAGAGGGTTTTTTTTGTGTGTGCTCCTTCTGTCATCACATGGAGAGTTATTTTGCCTTTTAGGGTAAAATATAAAAACAAATGCATGTCACAATATGATGTGGCAAACGTTACCCAGAAGCCTTAGTGATGTTGTTGCGATGGTATTAGCATGCACAGAGTATGCAACTCGCAGCTCTGCTGTGTGCACTTGTTCTTTTGCTTTCTCTCATGTGTTCTGCTCCATATATTTTAAGAGAGTTTAATGTGGGTGTTCCAATTCAATCCCATTAGAGTACTATGTATATTATTGTTACTAAACCTTGCCTTCATAATCATTCCTATGTATGTGGTCTATTGAAAAGCAATCATTTATATCTTTAGGAGGATGAATGGGAAGTCACAGATCTAGAACAATAATCAACTTGAACTCATGCTGCTAGCACAGGTATGGATTTTTAATATAATCTCAGGCAGGGAAGTGCTTGCAGGCATGTTTTCTCAGTCAGGAGCTGAGAGCATATGCACGATGGCAGACACAAGGTAACTACCCTTTGGCTGGTTGAAAGATGAAGTCATTATAAAACTGGATTTTAAACCAAATGTAGTGCTGGCTGCTGTCTGAACTTACCTAAAACATACACTATATTTTAAAAAGTAGGCTGAGAGTCACAGAAGTAAAACAAATAAATTCCAAAGTTGGTGTTTTATATTATCATTTATCTGCAATAAGTGATAATTGATATTCCAAAAATATACTTTGCTTTGAATTCAAATTGTTTATTTTGAACAATTAGTGAGTTCATCTCTGCACATGCCTAAAGAAGATAAATCAATAAATAAAAGAATAAAAATTAAAACTCTATATAATAAACACTTGATTTCTTAGTCCTGATTTCTCTTTTATTATGAAGACCAGAAGCAGAATGTTATTCTATTTTACCTAAAAATATATATATGATCTTTAGAAACTCCTTGTCAGCAATCATCTATCTGTGTGTGGGTGTATATATATATATACATATATATATATCTCATACAAACAATATGTATCACATTTATATGTTATCAAGCACAATCATATAATAAACCCACAAATGTCCAACTCCAAAACTAGAAAATTATTAATAGCTTGTACTACTCCTGTGTTCTTCCCCATCTGCCTGTAGGAATTATTTCTTTTTCTAAAATAGTTTTCTTACATACATATATATATCAAATAATGTGTTTTTGCTTATTTTTCAGCTACAAGATTGTGTCACACTGTATATAGTCTACCGTATTACTTTTTTTTTTTTTTTTGAGACGCAGTCTCACTCTGTCACCCAGGCTGGAGTGCAGTGGCACAATCTCCATTCACTGCAACCTCCGCCTCCCGGGTTCAAGAGATTCTCTCCTGCCTCAGCCTTTTGAGCAGCTGGGATTACAGGTGCCCAACTACACCAGGCTTTTTTTTTTTTTTTGAGACCGAGTCTCGCTCTGTCGCCAGGCTGGAATGCAGTGATGTGATCTTGGCTCACTGCAACCTCCGCCTCCCAGGTTTAAGCAGTTCTCCCACCTCAACCTCCCGAGTAGCTGGGACTACAGGTGTGTGCCATAACACCCGGCTAATTTTTGTATTTTTAGTAGAGACAGGGTTTCACCATGTTGGCCAGGATGGTCTTGATCTCTTGACCTCGTGATCCACCCACCTTGGCCTCCCAAAGTGCTGGGATTACAGGTGTGAACCACCACACCCAGCTACTGTATTACTTTTTATGCCTCCAGAATTTTTCTGTGTTGTTGCAGGTGTCTGTTGTGCCTTAATTTTTGCTATTGTAGAGGATTCTATTATGTGCAATTGCACAGCAGTGTATGTATCTGTTACCCTGTGGATGGACATTTGGGTTGTGTCCAGTGTCTCTTGACCACTTACCTTGTGCCATGCCCCCGACCCTCCTGCCATTACTCCACAATCTAGCTACATCCACAAAGCCATGACTTCACAAAACCCTGTCTTCCACTTCTGAGCTCCAGACCATATAAAAGGCATAATGGTGTTTATTGAGCACTTACTCTGAGCTAGAAACGATTCTCAACATTTTACATGTGGTAGCGCATTTAATATTCACAGCAACACAAATGGGAAGTAATATTCTTATCACCGTTTTACAAATGAGAAGACCAAGGCCCAGAAGAGTTGAATATCTTGCTCAAGATCACACACCTTTTGCCACCCCCCATTCCAAGTCCCATAGGCAACTCAGACTCAGCACATCCATGATGTAACTTATCATCTTCCTCTCCAAACCATTTCCTCACTTGTGCCCTACTCTCAGTGGGGACATCTCCAATCCCCAGGCCCAAGCTGGAAATCGGAAGCCATTTCTGACTCCTCCCTCACCCACTCCATCCAAATGGAGCCCAAGTCCTGTACATTGTACTTCTCGGGTATTGATCAATCCCGGCCTTTGTCTCCACGCCCACGGTGCTGACCCATTGTTAGGTGCCCGGCTGCTGCTCCTGGGTCATCACTTCCCAGCACTCTCTTCGCAGGCCCATCTCCACCATTTCCAGCATCCTACACACTGCGGCTCAGGTGTGCTTTCTAAACCTCACCTCACCATGTCCCCACCTCCAGAATGAAGCCCAGCCTCCTCTGCCCATCCCCTCAAACTGTAAAGTGCAGATCCCAGCCCCAAAAAGGACACCCCCCACCACAATACCCTGCTCTGTCTCCTGCTCTGGGAAGCCTCCTGGCCTTGGCCCAGAGGCTGGATGTGAGCTCCCCCACCCCAAGCCCCACAGCCTCCAAGCCTCCCACTCTGCACTCACCTTCTTCCTTATAATTACCTGTCACCCATTAAACTGCAACCCTCAAAGGCAGAGCCCAGTGCATCCACTGCGCATCCCCAGTGTCCAGGCAGGGCCTGCACACAGTAGGTGCACAATAATTGTTGAAAGGCAAAATACATGAGCAATGACAGGAACCATGGGTGATACTGCCTTCTGAGCCCCAGGCAACAGAGTGATTCCTGCCTGGCCCCAGGGTCAGTGGATCCTGGCCCCTCACCCCACCCAACCTCTGCAGCTGCTTCCCTGGAGCCCTTGGAGCCCTAAGAGGCCTCTTCCTGTGTCTTCATGTGTTCGAAGGATTTCCCTCTTTGCATCTTCCTTTCCTATTCCTTCATGTGGGAGCACTCTGGCACCAGGAAGAAGAAAGAGGAGCCCAACCCCTTACCAGCCTTCAATCTATAACAAGCATTCTCAAGGGAATTAAAACTGATTCTTAAAAGGGGAGGTGAAAAAAAATCTTACTCTTTTTTACGTATAAAGCACAGAACATATACAGAACATAAACAGATGTATAGTATATCTGTGGTATTAAAATTTCATGTGATTAAGAAAAAAAATCTGGAATTATACTAGGGAAGGCACTAATGAAAAAAAGGCTAAAAAATTCTGATCTACCTTCTTGGGCCATGCCTTGTCTGGTCCAAGAACCGGCCAGAACTCGGGGAAGGGAACAACCAGGGGAGAGTCTAGAGTCCAGTCTCAGGATCCCCTCAAAGTATTTCCAAAGCCAGCCCCCCACCAGTCAGCTACAGTCCTTTCACCAAAACTGCCCTTCCTTCCCCCTTGCCTGAAAATCCCTCATTCTGTTTCTGTCATTCTTTCATCTTACCTTGTTCCTACTGAGGGCGCAGGTCAGCTCTTCCCCATTCTCCCCCTGGGGCACCCCAGTTCCCAGGGCATGAAAGACTTGAGGTGCCTCACCTCTACACCTTGGGCTAAGACATAGCCCTAGAGCTCCTGGAAGAACCCAGGAGGGAAGCCCAACCACAGGAGGCCCCCAGGAAGTGGGGGTACTGCTGTGGGACAAGCTTCTCTTTATTGGGGAAGGGATGGGATCACAAATAATCTCTGCTTAGAAGTGCTCTAGGGCCATGGATTCATGTAAGGGTGGGGCAGGGTGGACTGAAGATCTGTTGGCAGGGCTCACGGAGATGAGGGTAAGGGGAGAGATCATGGGTTCATGAGATCCCATCTTGGGCAATACGGTTATCCCGTGGTCTTCATATGCCACAGAGTCCTCCAATTTCAGGGGCTCCCGTGGGATGGTGGAGCCAATGAAGACCAGGTAGATGATGCCACCTAGAGAGGCACCCAGAAGTGGTGCCACCACTGGCACCCACCACAAGTTCTCCCCATCGCTGCAGGCAAGAGGCAGAGGCCGGCTGAGGGGGCTGATGCCCAGGACAGCACCCTCATCCACCTCGGGCCAAGACTGGTTGAGCAGAGGAGTCATCCTCAGGCTAACCCAGGAAACACCCCCAACCCGGGGCCCTGGTCAGCCTCAGCCCGACTCAGGGACAGGGTTGACACTCAGTGCAGGTGCAGGATCTGTATCTCTACTGGCCTGGGGAAATGTTGGGACTCACTCCTGCTCCCCAGGCCACCTGGGGGCTCTGCAGGACCCTCCTGTGCTGCCCCTCACATCACCCCCCACACCTCAACACACAGGGGCCCCACAGAAAATCTCAAAGGAATGGGCCTGGGCAGGGGCAGTACCTGAAGACCAGTTTGCCCCAACCAGCAATGAAGGTGAAGATGCGGGGGGGGGGGGCAGGTCCCGGGACGGATTGATGGCATATCCTGTGTTCATGCCATGGTACACCCTGATGATGACCACGAGGATGCCTATCACCAGTGCGTGTGTTCCTGGCAGTGCTGGGTTGTTCTCCTGGTCCACGATGGCGAAGAGACACAGCTGGAGCATCCCGGTCAGCCACTCCTGAGGAGCAGATGCTGTGGAAGCTCACCTGGGCCCCTCCCCAAGCCACAGGACCTCGGCAGTGCCCCAGACCCAAGCCCACCAGCAGAGACACATCTTGGTACAGTCTCCATCCAGAGTTCTTGTCCTGTCTATCCGGAGGGACTCCCTGCTGGCTCCGTCCTGAGGGGTGGAGGGCAGGGGGAGGGGTACTCATCCTGGACCACTGACCTCATTCAGGAAGCCCCGCCACAATGTCATGTGATCAGGAAGGTAGGTGGCAAAAATGCCAGCTGTAGCAACGGGACCGGTCACCATCAGCTCTCCACCCGAAAAGTGGAGAATGGCCGCTGTGGAGACACAGACTATCACGCGAACCTGTCCCCAACTAAGCCCCACCAGGGTCCCGGAAATGAGGTTATAGGTTAGAGGGTAGGAGATCTCCAAGGCTTTTTTCTCCCAGCTATTTTTTACAAATCAGGACACTGAGGTCCAATCTGCCCATATTTCATAGGAGGCAGCTGAGGCCAGAGGCGGACACCCGGGCAGGACGCTCACTGTAGAAGAGACTGTAGATGGTGGCAGCCGCCAGGAAGGAGCCCAGGAACTGCCCCAGCACATAGACTGGAAACTTCCTCCAGGGCACACGGCCCAGTGCACAGTTAGTGAAGCTCACAGCTGCGTTCATGTGGGCTCCTGCGGGCAGCAGGCAAGTGTGTCAGGGAGCGAGAGCAGAACAAACAACAGTGACAAACAGTATGAGAACAACGATGGCTAGCGTGTATGACAGCATGCTCCGTGACAGAGTTCTCTCCTTGAGCCCTCACAACCACCCCGTGAGGCAGGGGCCACCATCTTCGTTTCACTCTTAAGGAAACTGAGGAACACAGAGGCGATGGCTTGCCTAAGATGACCCAGCCAGTGAAAATGGTAGGTCGGGGGGGCCAGGAAGAATCTGGGGCAGACACGTCATAGGCACGGGGTTCAGAGGAGACTTCCTCCCGCCCGGTGGCCAGGCTGAGGCACTGGCTGTGCTGGCAAAGGAGCTGGCTGAGGCGGGCAGGAAAGAGCCTGTTGGGGACACCTGGTCTTGCCCGGTCCGGCAGGGCCTGGGCTCACTCACCAGAGGTGCGGCCTGCCATGTGCACTCCCATGGTGACTCCGAAGCCAAAACCCAAGTTGACACCAAGGTAGCTCCCAAATGTTTTATTTAGAAGCATATGGGCCACGGAACCAAGGCCGAATACCTACAAGGGAGGGCCTCTAAGGGGGCTGCCTGCCCAGAAGCCCCAACCTCAGAGGAGGGCTCAGAGCTCAGTTCTAGCTCCTCACCCCCATGCCCTGGGCCTCCCTGGCGTTGCCTCGAAGACCCTCTGCCATGCCCTCTTCCTCCAGAGCCTTCCCTCCTCACTGCCTCCTCTCCTTGCCCCTGCTGAGGCCTCTCAGACCTGAGCCACTGAGAGCCGGGTGGAGCAGCAGAGTTAGAAGCTCTTACTACAAACATCCAAGCACCTCAGCCCCAGGCCCACCTGAAGTTTTGGGGTGAGGCAGGGCTGCAAGGAGGGGATGGCTGGCATGCATTGCACCCCCTCAGAGTCCCTCACACTTCAGGCTGACCTGAAGGAAGTTTCTTCAAGGGACCTCCAAATCCATCCATGCCTGACTCTGCCAGGAACCCCTCCCTACACACACACACTCCACCGCAATTCCCACAATGCTGGAACAGTGGGGCCCTAACTGTCTTGCCCTCAGCTTCATTTCCACTGACCTCAGGCGGCATTCCCAAGCTGCTGCTTCTTGCCCATCCCTCACGGCTCCTCAGATAATGCTGCCTTCACAGGGGAAGGGGCCTACCTTCAGGCCCATTACCCTCAGTCTAGAGCCACTGTTCCCTTCAGCCCTGGCTCCTGTGCTATCCTCTCCCTCTGCAGAGGCCTCCGTCTCCCCCATACCTTCCATCCTCCCATTGATCGGTTCCCACACACTGGAGTCTCATCCTTCCCAGCAAACTGTCCCACCCCTGCCCAGTGTCCTTCTCCAGCTGTGGGTTCCTGGTTGCCCCCTCCCTGTTTCAGTCAGGCTGCAGGAGAGAACACACTGGCCAGCTGCTTCACCCCTTCCCTCGCACCCCCTCCTCAATCTGGCTTCCATTTCCACATGTCACAGACACCAAAGCTCTCTCCAAGGGCTCCAGCAACCTCCTGATTTTCCAAAGGTCTTTTCAGGCATGGTTTTACCACGTAGACAGTCTCAGCTATGCCTGATGCGCTGAAATTCCCGTCATCTCCGTGGGGGAGCCAGATGCCTATTTGCAAATCCCCACTGCAACTCTCCTGGTGTTCCGCGGACGTCTCAGGCTCTGTTGAAGGTTCGCCATCTCACAGCACACCTGCTCCTCACTCTATGTTCCCCATCCCCGTTGGCCGAGCCAGAAACTCAGATGTTGCAAATGATAGTTAAGCACTATTATTCTCCCCCACTTGACAGATGGGTAATCTGAAGCTTAGAGGACTTGAATGGCTTGTCCAAGGTCACACAGCCTGTACATGGTGAGCCAGGATTAAATCCAGGCAGTTACCTGTCCCAGATGGCCTCAAACCAAACAACTGCGCTGCTCCATGCATGCCTTGCTTTCTTGTGCCTCTGTTTTATTTGTTTGTTTGTTTGATGCTTGAGATAGGGTTTTGCTCTATCACCCAGGCTGGAGTGCAGTGCCATGATCAGGGCTCATTGCAGCCTCCATCTCCTGGGCTCAAGTGATACTCCCACCTCAGCCTCTCAAGTAGTTGGGACTATGGGCATGTGCCTCGGCACGCAGCCAATTTTTTTTTTTTTTTTTTTGAGACAGTCTTGCTCTGTCGCCCAAGCCGGAGTGCAATGGCGCAATCTCGGCTCACTGCAACCTCCAACTCCCGGGTTCAAGTGATTCTCCTGCCTTAGCCTCCCGAGTAGTTGAGATTATAGGTGCATGCCACCATGCCCAACTATTTTTTTGTATTTTTAGTAGAGACAGGGTTTCACGATGTTGGCCAGACTGGTCTCAAACACCTGACCTCAGATGATCAGCCTGCCTTGGCCTCCCAAAGTGCTGGGATTACAGGCATGAGCCATTGAGCCCTATCCCAGCTAAGTTTTTCAATTTATTTTGTGTAGAGATGAGGTTTCACTATGTTGCCCGGGCTGGTCTCGAGCTCCTGGCCTTAAGCAATCCTCTCACCTCAGCCTCCCAGAGTGCTGGGATTACAGGTGTGAGCCACCATGCCTGGCCAGAATATCCTAATAATTTTACATTGATTGCATCTTGAAATAGGATTTTGGCTATATGGGTTAATTATTAAAATTAATTTCACCTGTTGCTTTTTACCTTTTTAATGTGGATACTAGAAAAAATTAAATTATACAGATGGCTTGTATTGTATTTCCCCTGGAGAACTCTGTTCTAGAGTTGATAAAGGAGAAAACCTGAAGAATTGTAGACATAAGGGCCAAAGTCAAAGCCGACAGAGGAGAAGGCCCCAGGAGAGGGTACAAGGTAAGAAGGCAGACCAGGCCGGGTGCGGTGGCTCATGCCTGTAATCCCAGCACTTTGGAAGGCCGAGGTGGATGGATCACTTTAGGTCAGGAGTTCAAGACCAGCATGACAAAACCCCGTCTCTACTAATAATACAAAAATTAGCCAGGCGTGGTGGTGCTTGCCTGTAATCCTGGCTACTCAGGAGGCTGAGACAGGAGAATTGCTTGAACCCAGGAGGTGGAGCTTGCAGTGATCCGAGATCACACCACTGCACTCCAGCCTGGGCGACAGAGCAAGACTCCATCTCAAAAAAAGAAAAAAAAAAGAGTTGAAAGGCACCAGTGTAGACTCCTCTTCGAGAATTCGCCTGAGGAGCGGGGAAGAGAGAACATGATCCCGTGAAGGGGCTGACAGGGTGAAGGAAGGGATGTTTCATTTTGTGTTGTTTTCAGTGGAGAAACTTCAGTATGTTTATAGGCTGAGAGAGGGATGGGCTGAAGATAAAGGACAGAGAAAAAGGACAGAGTAAAGTACCTGAATAGGCTGGACAGCTGGATTGGTGCAGAAGTGGAGGTGTCCTCCAGGAAGGAGAGGACCCCACCCCAGCCAAGGGGTGATATGTGGATACACGGGTGGTTAACGGGTCTGGTGGTAAGAGGGACAAGAGGGTGAGCTGAACATAGGAAGTGTTGATTATTTTACCTATCAAGCAGCAGATCAAGCCATTTGCTGATTTAAAAAAAAAAAAAGAGTACAGAGCAGCTTTGGGGAAGTCTGAGAAAATGTGAAATAGCCCAGATATGGTGGGGGAGAGGCAGCTGAGCAGGGCCCACTGGGTCCCTCAGAAGCCCCAGGACAGGAGCAGGGGAGCCCAGAGCTAGGCTGGCTTCAGATCCAGGATAAGATACAGCAGGAGAGGACAGGAACAGATGGGGGTGCAGGGGGGAGTGAGGTCAGGACAGGTTGACAGGCTGGCAGGGTCAAGAGGTAGAGGGACTGGAGGAGGCATGGAGGGTCTGAAAACAGAGGGGCCCCCATGGCCTTTCCCGCATTCCAATACCATGTGCTAAAAATACTGGATGAGCATAGGCCGGGTGTGGTGGCTCACGCCTGTAATCCCAGCACTTTGGGAGACCGAGGCAGGCCGATCATGAGGTCAGGAGTTTGAGACCTGCTTAGCCAACATGGTGAAACCCCGTCTCTACTAAAGATACAAAAAATTAGCCAGGTGTGGTGGCACATGCCTGTAATCCCAGCTACTCGGCAGGATGAGGCAGGAGAATCACTTGAACCCGGGAGGCAGAGCAGTGAGCTGAGATCACACCACTGCACTCCAGCCTGGGCAACAGGGTGAGACTCTGTCTCAAAAAAATAAAATAAATAAAATAAAATACTGGGTGAGTGAATGAACCCCACATGATTCCTTGTGTCAGGGTTGCCAACTGGCAACTCATGCACCTAATTCATCCAGCGCACAGATTTTGTTTAGATAACTTGGTTTTGAAGAACAGAAGTTTCCGTCTCTCTTGAAAAATGAGCAGCTCAAGCAACACTGGCCTGCATTCCACCCTCCATGGCAACAGTCAGCTGGAGTGGCAGCAGCTCTACAGCCTTGCACAGATTGGCACTCTGCAGCCAGCCAAAGTCCCCACCGCCCTGAGTTGCCGCTCTCTTGGCCCCCGTAGCATGTGATCTACAACCCTTGCCCCGTGTCTCATGTGTATGGCTGGTTTTCCAGGGCCCGGATGGCTCCAGCCCCTCCTCTCCCTGATCAGTGAATGTGGCCCAGCCCATCCAACTCTCCCCCACAGCCAGGAGGCCAGCTCCAAGGGCAACACACCTGGAAGCTGCAACACGGATCAGTCCACTTCCCTTGTCCTGGCTGCAATAAATGGGGCCAAGGTCACACTAGCTTTTTTGGCAAAACTTCACCCTGGTGACTCACTGAGATTCCTATATATATATTTACAAAAAAAAAAAAAAAAGCCCTCACTTCTTGGCACAGCCTGGCAACTAAAAATAACAACACCACAATATCCGATATAGGCTTACGCCTCACAAAGTTCTTTTACAAGTGCTACTGTCTTCAATCCTCACAACAAATCTGCACAGCAAGAATTTTTCTCCCACTCTATAAGTGGGGAAACTGAGGCCGAGAGAGGCATCTTGAACTACCTGAAAGTGAGGACTTTACCCTGGCTGGGGGAGCATTAACAAGCCAGTCTTTAAAAGCTGGCAATATTTAAGCTAAGGTACAGAGCATAGAGGTTAAGGGTCAAGACTGTGATATTGGGCTGGGCACGGTGACTCATGCCTGTAATCCCAGCACTTTGGGAGGCCGAGGTGGGAGGATCACTTGAAGTCAGGAGTTCAAGACCAGCCTTGACAACATGGTGAAACCTTGTCTTTCCTAAAAATACAAAAATTGGCTGGGCATGGTGGCATGCACCTGTAATTCCAGCTACTCCAGAGGCTGAGATGCAAGAATCACTTGAACCCAGGAGGTAGAGGTTGCAGTGAGCCGAGATTGCACCACTGTGACAAAGCAAGACTGTATCTCAAAAAAACAAAAACAAAAACAAAAAAGACTGTGATATTAGACTGCACTGGATTTAATCTTGACTTAAAGTGTGACCTTGGGCAAAAGGCTTAGTCTCAAGGAGCCTCAGTTTTCCCATCTGTGAAACTGGGATAATAATAGTACCTACTTCACAGGGCTATTGCGAGGATTTGGGAAGATGCTGCACGTAAGGGGCTTAGCATCACAGAGCCCAGGATGCATTAGGTGCTCAATGAAAATCTCAACAAAAGGAAGAGGAACACAGATGTGGGCAGGTATCAAGCATGTGGGCGGTGCCTATTTCCCTAACAGCTCTCAGAGGATGCACCCTCCTGCCTCCGAGGCTCCAAGGGTTAACAGCCCTCATGGGGCTGGAATGTCTTGTGGTAAGTGAATTACTTTGCCCTGGATTAAGGAGGGACAGGATCCAACTGCTGTCCTCACAGCTCAGGAGCCAAAGCAGGTGGGGAGGTAAGAGAGGAGTAGGGGAGGGCCAGAGACAGAGAGGAGACAGCAGCTAGAGCACCCGTCCTAATAACAAGGGACCAATACATGGGTACCACACTGGGTGCTGAGACTTGGCCTTCTTCACACAAGTCCTCCTGTTAACCAATAAGGAAGCTAAAGTTGTGGGCCGGGAGAGGTGACTCACGCCAGCAATCCCAGCACTTTGGGAGGCCGAGGCAGGAAGGTCACCTGAATTCGGGAGTTCGAGACCAGTCTGGCCAACATGGTGAAACCCCATCTCTACTAAAAATAGAAAAATTAGCTGAGCACAGTGGCACATGCCTGTAGTCCCAGCTACTCAAGAGGCTGAGGCAAGAGAGTCACTTGAGTATGGGAGGTGGGGGCTGCAGTGAGCTGAGATCGTACCACTGCACTCCATCCTAGGAGACAGAGTGAGACCCTGTCTCAAAAACAAGAAAGCTAAATTTGTGAACAGTTAAGATACTTGTGGATAGTCGCACAGCTAGAAGATAACAGAGCTAGGATTCAAACGCAGCTCCAAAGCCCACGAAGGCCTAATTCTACACCATATAAGTGAGAAGTCAGGCTTTAAGCCAGGGAGAGACCTGCCCAAGGCAACTGGTCACTCAGTGGCAGGGTCAGGCTAAGAAACCTGGTGTTCCAATTTCCTCTCTCCCTTGAGCTCCATGGGCCCCACCACACACACAAACAGCCTCTCTCACCCCACCTTCCTCTAGCATGCACCTGGCTGCCTTTGCCTCCCTTCCCAGAGGCTGCCCCTTCTTTCTCTAGACCCTGGACCCTGCATAAGATGCAATAAACATGGCTACAGTCATGTTAAGGGCAGAGGCTCACTGGGGTAAGTGGCAGGGCTGAAGCAGGTGCAGAGGGAGCAACCTCACATCCCACCTGCAGTCTGGATTCTGTCCCAATCACACACTAAAGAAGAGCCCTTGTCAAGGTTACCAGCAACCTCCACATTGGCAAACCCTAAGGCCCCTTGCCAGTGCTCACCTTGCGTGGCCCATCTGCCGCTGCCCATGCCGCTGATGGCTTCTTCCTGGTGGAACCACTGCCCCCCTCTGTCATGCAGTCGGCTCTGGTTCTCCTCCCACCTCTCTGACCATTCCTTCTCAGGCTCCTTTGCGTGCCCCTCTTCATTCCTCAGGGCTCTGTCCTCAAACCATCCTTTTCTCTTTCTGTACACTCCTTCTAGACAGTGTTGACAACCACCACCTGTGTTGTGATGAACTTCAACTTTTTCCTTCCAGACCAAGCCTCTCCTGAGCTCCAGCCCCTTGCCTGTGTTTAACTATCTCCTGGATTTCCCCACAGGCATCTTGCCTCTCACCCTGTGCTGGGCCCCGTGCTCCAGAACAGCTCATCGGCGCTTTGCCCACATGTTCTGCTGGCAGAGTCTCCCCGATTCCATCTCCCACAGCCCTCTCAAACATGTGCTTTCTTCTCCAACCCCAGATCAGTCATCACCCTCTCTCTGTCCCAGATCAAAAACAGCCTCTTAACTGGTTCCTTCTTGCCAGCCTTGCCTGTCCTGCTTATGCTCCACACTGCACACAAAATTACCTTTAAAATCCAAATCTGATCATGTCACTCCCCTGCTTGCCAGCCTTCAACATCGCCCATTGCCCTCTGGATTCATTATCAGAGCCTGATCATCAAGTTTCTCTTCAATCTCTCTCTTCTCTTTTTTTTTTGAGACAGAGTTTTGCTCCTGTCACCCAGGCTGGAGTGCAATGGTGTGATCTCAGCTCACTGCAACCTCCACCTCCTGGGCTCAAGTGATTCTCCTGCCTCAGCCTCCTGAATAACTGAGATTACAGGTGTCCGCCACCATGCCCAGCTAATTTTTGTATTTTTAGTAGAGACGGGGTTTCACCATGTTGGCCAGGCTGGTTTCGAACTCCTGACCTCAGGTGATCCACTTGCCTAAGCCTCCCAAAGTGCTGGAATTACAGGCATGAGCCACTGCACCTGGGCCTCTTCAATCTCTTTACTCTGGGTTTCCCTTCTCCCCATTTCCAGCCTTGCCCTGGATACCCCAGTGCATGGTTTCATTTGACCCCCACATATTATGAGCCCTTTCTGTCCAAAAAGACTTGATGAGAAAGCCCCCCCTCCTTACTTTCCTCGCTGCTTCCCCAGGCTCCCAGCTCAGAGGCAAGGAATGGACAATGTGACCCATGGGGTCAGAATGGGGAGGGGGTCATGGAAGGCCCTGGCAGAGCCCACCCACTTTGTGCTGCCCACCCACTCACCATCATGACATATGTGCTCATGAACTCGGCCAGGAACTCTCGCGCCATCTTCCTCTCATCTTCCTCGCACCATATTTCCTGGATCTTTGCTATCACGGACCAGGAGACCATTTTGGAGCCACGGGTGGACCTGATACAGTGGCCCGAGCCCATGGACAGAAAGGAGACTCAAGTCTGCCTGCTGCCCATCGGCTCTTCAACTCACAGCTGAGTTAATAGGTAACCCAGCAGACTTGCCACACACACCTCCTCTTGCCCGGGGCAGCTGGGACAGCTGGAATTGGAGACACTTGAGAGCCATGGGGACATGGAGAGGAACTGGGGTAGATGGCCAAGCCATGCCCCTTGTAGTTGGGACTGGACCAGTAAAAATGGCACACCAATGAGGCCACTTTGCAGACGGGCAGGTGGGGAGCTGAAAGTGCAATCCACGGTGCCAACAAGCCTCTGGGAAAAAGCAGGGTGGGAGAGAGCAGGCTGGAAAGTAGAGCTCAGTAGTCTATGTCTGTCCATCTGTCTGTCTGCCTATCTGCTAGAGCCAGAACTTTGGGGTCACAGGCCAGGGCCTGGCAACAGTGAGGCACTCTACAAACAGCATGAGGTGTGACAAAGTCTGCTGCCGAGCTCTGTAAACAGCACTGAACACTGAAACATGCGCCAGGTTCTGTCAAAAATGAAGGGGTCAGCAAAATGCACCAGGCTGTGCAACCAGGTCAGTGCAAACAGAGGTTTGTGAGAGAGTGAGTGAATGAATGAATGACCGAGAGAGGGAGGGAGAAAAGGAAGGACTGGATCTACTTCCTGGTGTATCTTCAGTGCCCAGCACCATGCCAGGCACATAGTAGATGTGCAATAAGTATTTGTTGAATGGGTGAAAACTGGGGAATCTGTCTTACTCCCAACTAGATCCTCAGAGCTTCCCAAAGGGCCTGGCACTTGATTTATATTTAGTTAAGTGCACGATTAGATGGAAAGGTAGATGAAACAGGTGAGTAACAGGTTCCAAATCTGCGTATAGGGAGAGGTATAGGACTGGAGTTTGGGGAAGGTGGCGGGGTGGGACTGGAGGATAAAGAGGAAGAAGAGGGGCTGGGCCCGGTAGCTCACGCCTATAATCCCAGCACTTTGGGAGGCCAAGGTGAGCAGATCACCTGAGGTCGGGAGTTCGAGACCAGCCTGACCAACATAGAGAAACCCCATCTCTACTAAAAAATACAAAATTAGCCAGGCATGGTGGCGCATGCCTGTAATCCCAGCTACTTCGGAGGCTGAGGCAGGAGAATCACTTGAACATGGGAGATGGAGGTTGTGGTGAGCCGAGATCTTGCCACTGCACTCCAGCCTGGGCAACAAGAGCGAGACTCCATCTCAAAAAAAAAAAAAAAAAAAAAAAAAAAAAGAGGAAGAAGAGGGATACAGATACCTCTAAGTGTGGCCTTAGTCACTCTGCTATCTCACTGTCTGCATGCCCGGAAGCTGACACCAGCCCCTCAACTCCTCTGGCCAGCCCATCCTTGCACATCACGTACTGCCTTAGCTGCAGGCCTTTGCACATGCCAGTCCTACGCCCAGAATGGTCCCCTGCCTCCCCAGAGGCTCCTTTACCCGCCAGCCTTCTTTTCTTGACCTAAATTTCCCTTTCTCTGGGAGAGCCTCCTACCCTCTCCTCTAGGCCATTCACTTCTTCCACATGCCCCACGGTGCCCACTCTTTCAGCTGGGGCAATGCTCATCACACTGCATAGTAATTGCTCAGTTAGGCCAGGCACAGTGTCTCACACCTGTAATCCCAGCACTTGCCGAGGCGAGCTGATCGCTTGAGCCCAGGAGTTCAAGACCAGCCTGGGCAGTATGACAAAACCTCATCTCTACAAAAAAAAAATACAAAAATTAGTCAGGTGTTGTGGTGTACGCCTGTGGTCCCAGCTAATGGGGAGGCTGATGTGAGAGGATTGCCTGAGCCCAGAAGGCAGAGGTTGCAGTGAGCTGAGATCACACCACTGCACTCCAGCGTGGGTGACAGAGCGACACCCTGTCTCAAAAAAGAAAAAAAAAAAAAGCTTAATTAATTAACGGTTTTTCTTCCTAAGGGCTGGGATCATACCAGTTTGCTTCACTGCAGTGCCTGAACATAGTAGGCATAGTAGATTCAATAAATCTTTGGTTCCTTGGCTGGTTGTTACCTGCTCTGTGCTGATGAGAAAGGAGCCAGGCTTCCAGGATTCCCTTGGTGTTCTTGGCTCCCTGCTCTGTCTACCTCTCCCCTGCCTCTATGGTACCTTCCCAGGACTGTCTTTGGGCTGCTGCTTGCATTGGTAGGGTCTCTTCTTCAGGGCTGAGGAGGCTGGTCATGGGATAATGAGACCCCTATACGATGCTGCATGGGAGCTGGAGTTGGATGGGGGCCAGTGGAATATCCGCGCAACTCTGCATCCCCTTCCATCTACTCATCCCTGGTTTTGTTTCTCTGGGGTAAGGAATAGAGCAAGGACTGGGATGGGTGAGCTATGAACAGAGGGTCTCAGCTGAAAAGTGGAAGATGTTTTATTCCATGCCTGGACGTCTCTCATTCCCTCTGCTTACTTTTTGCTGCTGTGAGGTCAGGGGAATTTAGGAGCCCTGAGGAATGCTGCTGCTCTCCCTAGCAGGGCGAGGTGACCCTCCACTGGCTCCCATCCAACCCCACCTCCCATGCTGGAGGTAACTACAGAAGAGGAGAGAGAAGTGGACAGAGCAGAAAGACAAGAACACCAAGAGAATCCTGGAAGCCTGGCTCCTTCCTCATCACCACACAGCAGGCAAGACACAGTAAGCAACAGATAACCACCAACCAGCCAATGAACTCAAGATTTCTTGAATCTACTGTGCCTAGAATGTTCAGTCACTGCAGTAAAGGACACTGGTACAATCCAGCCTGTGGGAAGAAAAGCAATCAATTGAGCAATTACTATGCAGTGTGATGAGCATTGCCCCAGCTGAAAGAGTGGGCACCGTGGGGCATGTGGAAGAAGTGAATGGCCTAGAGGAGGGGGTAGGAGGCTCCCAGAGAAAGGGAAATTTAGGTCAAGAAAAGAAGGCTGGAGGGTAAAGGAGCCTCCAGGGAGGCAGGGATCACTCTGGGCGTAGGACTGGCATGTGCAAAGGCCTGCAGCTAAGGCAGTATCCAATGTGCAGGAATGGGCTGGCCACGGAGGAGTGGAGGTGGCATGAGATGGGCAGAGAGGGGCCAGGGCCAGGTGGCAGAAGGCCTCATGGCCCACATTAGGGAGTCTGAACTCTACCAGAGGGCCATGGGCCAAGTGGAGGGTTTCAGCAGGAGAGCTGCCTCCCCTGTGGAGGCCAGGATGGAGGAAGTGGAGTGGAGGCAGGGTGAGCATCAGCTTCTCCACAGATGGGTGGAGAAGTGGTGGCAGCCTGAGCCACAGAGATGGCAGTGCCAATGGCCACAAGAGCACAGTCAAGCTGAAAGGCTTGGTGTTCGGTTAGAGAGGGAAGGGAGCGGGGCAGCTCAGCGATGCCCTCAGGTCCTGGCTAGGGCAGCGGAATGACTAGCGTGGGGCACAGCAGAGAAGCTGTGAAAGAATGGACAAGGAGGCCCTTTCTGGACATGTTGAGTGTGAGGAGCCCGCTAGACACTTGGGTGGGATGGCCAGTGAGGAGGCAGCTGGTCATGTGGTCTCACTTACAGACACATTTGGAGGACAGCAAATCACAGATGGTCATCTGAGCCATGGGCATAGATGAGAGAGCTCAAGGAGAGGGTACAGACTAAGAAGAGGGGCCCAAGAAAGCCAGCCTACAAAGCAAGAAACTGACAGCCAACCAGATCCCCTAAGTAATCTGTTAACCAAGGAACTAAATAGCTAACAACTCACTAATGCCTGTTTCTTTTCTTTTTCTTTTTCTTTCTTTTTTTTTTTTTTTTTTGAGACAGGGTCTCACTCTGTCACCCAGGCTGAAGTGCAGTGGCACAGTCACAGCTCACTGAAGCCTAGACTTTCCAGGGTTCAAGTGATCCTCCCACCTCAGCCTCCCAAGTAGTTGGGACTACAGGAGCATGCCACCATGACCGGCTATTTTTTCCTATTTTTTGTAGAGATGGGGTTTTGCCATGTTACCCAAGCTGGTCCCAAACTCCTGGACTCAAGCAATCCTCCAGCCTCAGCCTCCCAAGGTGCAGGGATTTCAGGCATGAGCCAACATGCCCGGTGGCTTATTAACCCTTTGACTAACCTATCAAAAACCAACTAACTGATTCTCCTGTTAACCAGCTATTAACTCATTGAATTATCTAATCAACCAGTCAACCATAAACTATCCAACTAACCACGAGCCAACAATTCAACCTGCTAGCCAACATTTCTTCATTCAACAAACATTTGTTGGCCAGGCATGGTGACTCATGCCTGTAATCCCAACACTTCAGGAGGCCGAGGCAGGTGGATCACTTGAGGTCAGGAGTTCAAGACCAGCCTGGCCAACATGGCAGAACCCCATTTCCACTAAAAATAAAAAAAAAATTAGCTGGGCATGGTGGCAGGCACCTGTAATCCCAGCTGGGGTGGGGGCTGAGATGTGAGAATCGCTTGAGCCCAAGAAGCAGAAGTTGCAGTGAGCCGAGATCATGCCACTGCACTCCAGCATGGGCAACAGAACAAGACTCCATCTCAAAAAAAGAAAAAATTTTTGTTGAGCACCTACTTATGAGTCAAGCACCAGGGATACAAAGTCAAAACCCACTCTCCACTCTTGGGTCACTCTGTTTAATAGAAGAGATGGGTAATGGCAACACCACCAGAGAGAAGCAGCCTGGGACTGGGGGAACTCAGGGGAGGCATGGGAGGTGAGGCCTGAAGGGAGTTTTGAAGAATGGGCGGGTGGTGGCCTGACATGGCCATGGGGGAGTAGGGTGGTGGTAGAAAGAATGGTGGAAGCTGTGCACATTCTAGATATTTTAGGAGATTGGTGACTGGATGTGAGGCATGGGGAAGAGGGAAGTATCAAGGACATGACCTTGACTTCTGGCTTGAGCAACTGAAGAGAAGGGGACCCCTGACTGAGCCAAGAGCACAGGAGGAGTGGACTTGTGGGGGGCGGAGGAGGCTGTTTCCATCTAGGAGCTGAGTTGCCTGTGAGACACCAGTGGGTCTCTAGAAACAGGATCTAAAGCCCTGGAAAGAGACGTAGGCTAGAGGCAATGATGTCAACAGAGGGGCACTATTCATTCTCTCCGTCCAAGTGTACAACAGGCAAATATCCCTGCTTGCGTGGAGCTGACAGCAATGAAATGTAATAAGTAAGTACATTTGTATAAGCGAAGGTACCAGCTCCTATGGGAAAAAACAGAGCAAGGAGAGGGGAATTGGGAGTGCAGGGGCTGGAGATGGGGTGTGATTTCAAATAGGGCAGTCAGAGTAATCCTTGTTGAGAAGGTGGCCTTGGAGCAAAGCCATGAAGGAGATGAGAGTGGGCTGTATGTTAACTGCAGAAAGCCTCTCAGATGGAGGGAATAGTCACCAGAGGACTCTCAGCATGTTTAAAGAAAGCAAAGAAAGTCAGTGTGAGGCCAGGTGCAGTGGCTCACACCTGTAATCCCAACCTTTTGGGAGGCCGAGGCGGGTGGATCACCTGAGGTCAGGAGTTCAAGAACAGCCTGGCGAACATGGCGAAACCCCATTTCTACTAAAAATACAAAAAAAAAAAAAAAAAAAAAAAACAAACAACTAATTAGCTGGGCATGGTAGTGTGTGCCTGTAATCCTGTAATCCCAGCTACTCAGGAGGCTGAGGCAAGAGAATCGCTTGAACCCGGGAGAAGGAGGTTGCAGTGAACCAAGATCTTGCCATTGCACTCCAGCCTGGGCAACAGAACTGGATTCCATCTCAAAAAAAAAAAAAAAGAAAAAAAAAACCAGAAAAGAAACTCAGTGTGGCTGGAGGAGGGAGAGCAGGGGGCTGGAGTGGGGAGGCCAGAAAGCTAACAAGGACTACATAGGCAGGGCCTTGGCCATTGCAAGGACTGGCTCTTTTTCACCCCAAAGACAGCTGAGCCTGAGAGGGTGAGAGGTGCTGAGTGCAGTTGAGTTGAAGGCCACCTGCATGCCTTGACCCTCATCCAAGTATTTCTGAGCCTCCCCTCACCCCAGGACCCAGCCCAGGCAACAGGTGGAAGATGCTTTTCTTCTGGGACCTCAGAGGTGAGTGGGTGGGTGGGGAGGAGGAGGTCGAGGGGGGACAGCTGCCCCAAGGGAGAGGCTGAGGATGGAGCAGGGAGGGCACTGAAGTGGGCTGGGTGGAGGACAGGGGGCTGGAGGGTGAGAAGAAGGTGGGGTACTTACCGCCTGTGCCCAGATGCTTGAACCATGTTTTGTCCTTCAGATTTGTAGATGCTGAGGAGCCAAAGAGAGGTCACTAGGGCTGGAGGACACAGAACTTGGCCCCACACTTCCATCAGACCTTTGTCCCCAGGGGAGAAGCCCTGGGGCAGCTCCTGCTAGTGCCACTCCCTTAACCCAGCCAAGGAACAGGGAGGGAGGAGCGGTGCTCAGCCAATGAGGTGACGCCCTGGAGCCCCACCCCACCCATGCTGGCCCCAGGACCCCAACCCCAGGCCAGACCCTCCAGTGCTCCTGCTGACCTTCCCTGTCTGCAGCCCAGCTTTGGACTGTGGAGATGCCCTCAGCCTCTACTCAGTGGCTCCAGCCTCATATTTGCGTGCTATACCTTTAACCTCAAGTTCTCTTGCTGCTAACTTAAGCTGTGACTGTCCAGGACCTGCACACACACATACATGCACGCATGCACACACACACACACACACACACACAGAAGGTGAACACACAGGATGAGGCCCTGAAAACTCATTTCACCCGTGTACCTCACCCAAAAATTCCCCTTTGTACTCCTATCTTTATCTCTAACTGACAGCATGAAGGTAGCCCGAAGTCCCCTCACCCTGTCTGTCCTCCTGATTCTCTAGCCCAGTTCCCTCTAGCTCCAGCACAGACTCTTATCTCCAGCCCTGACTGCTGAAACCCTCCAGCCCCAGCTCCAGCCCCTCAGGAGGGGACTGCGTGGGAGGAATGACTCCAGCAAGCCGGCAGCTGACCCGTCTCTGGCCTGCATGCCTCCCCCTGTGGTCCACTGCCGGTGGTCTTCAGCTCTCTCCTCGTCCCACCCCCATGGTCTGCTGACAGCCCAGCCCAGTGCATCCCTGCCATCTCTGCTCTACCGCTGGTCCTCCCAACAACCAACTTACAGGTAAGGAAACTGAGGCCCAGAGAGAAGGTGTATGTGCCTGTGTCACACAGCAACACAGGACTGCACCATAACAAGAAAGCCGGGACTTCCACTCCCAGCCGGGGCTCCTTCCCCAAACAATCCCTCAGTCACCTCCTCGCTGTATGGTACCCAGGGAATGGCCCTTCCAGATCTGGGCACTGAGGAGGCTGCCCCATCCCCACCCTGCCTGGAGCCCCACTCACTCTGCTGAAATGTCTTCTGATTCTCAGCCTCTGCCTTGGGGGCTTCTCAGTTAAAGCGCATCTTGATCTTGTTCCTCTGTGACTGTCCCTGGCTCAGCTTCCACCCCCAGCTGGGGCTCAGCTATCCCTGTGTCCCCAGTCCAGAGCCTGCCTCTCAGCCCTCCCAGGGCGGCCTTGAGCACTGCTCCTGCTCCTCCAGGGGAGAGGTCAGTAAGGCAGGGATTTGGCTGGTGCCACTTGAACCAAGTCCAGATGCACTGCCCAAAATAACATCCCTCGTCTGGCCAGCAGTGCAGTGGAGACCGAGTTCTGAAGCAGGCCTTTGTGAGGTCAGAGGTGGAGTTCTGGGTGGGCACTCTGGGCCTCACAGTCCCAGAGGAAAGGCCTGTCCTCCAAGCCAATGTGCAGCCTGACTCTGGGGCCAGCGCCTGAGGAAGCCCTCCCTGAGCCCCAGCCCTGGGGAAGGCTGAAGAGGCCTCTGAGCTCCCAGCGCTGGGGAGCGCTGTGCAGAATAGGACTGGAGGTGAAAGTGTTGGAGATTAACAGCCAGATGGAGGGGACGGGGGGAGGCCCTGGGTCAGTCCTCAGGGAACCCCCATTCTGAAGGGGGAGAGGGAAACTCAGGCCCAGTCCTCAGGGGCCCCCAGTCTGAGAGGAAGGAGGACACACGAGCCATATTTGCAGAGAAACACCAGCCTGCGAGAGGAGGTAGAAGCCCAGGCCTGGCCCTCCGAGGGCCCCTAGTCTGAGGAGCAGTCCACCTGCCCTCGGGAAAACACCTCCCTTAGGAAAGGCCAGCAAGGCCCCCGTAAAGGAGCCACAGCTGGATCGGGGCATGGGGCTCGGGGCCCAGCGGTGTGGGAGCTCCGGGACCGAGGTGCAGTCAGGAGAGACCCTGGGGGCCAGTGGCAGTCCAAGAGGACTTTTGGAGCCAAGGCCTGACTGGGTCTCAAACAATGGGGCAGGCAGTTTGGGGTTTCAGCAGGTGGCCCAGTGCTGAGACACAAGGGAGTTGTTTCTGGTCTGCAGACACTGAGGACACTTGCTATGTGGCGTGGTGGATGGTGGGTAAGTCCTGGGAATTTCTGGCACCAGGTTCCCTGGGTGGGAAGGGGCATAGGATTCAGTTGTCCAAAGCTCAGGTGTGGGAATGGAACTGTCCTGTAGAGGGTGCCAAAGACCAGGTCTGGAAACTGCATAGCCCCAGTCCCCACCCCCACACACACCATCCCACCCCTTCCAGCTTTTTCTGCAGGTCTTTCTGCAGGGGTGAGGCAGGGAGAGGAAGGGGTCGGCCGCAGTTCTGGGGCTTCCTAGTCAGAAGCCCTCTGTAAGGCACTAACTTCCCTCTTCCCTCTGCAGATTTTTTTTTTTTTTGAGACGGAGTCCTACTCCACCCAGGCTGGAGTGCAGTGGCACAATCTTGTCTCACCACAGTCTCTGCCTCCCAGTTCAAGTGATTCTCCTGCCTCAGCCTCCCAAGTAGCTGGGATTACAGGCATGCACCACCAAGCCCAGCTAGTTTTTTTGGATTTTTAGTAAAGACGGGGTGTCACCATATTGATCAGGCTGGTTTCGAACTCCTGACCTCAGGTAATCCACCCGCCTCAGCCTCCCAAAGTACTGGGATTATAGGTGTGAGCCACTGTGCCCGGCCTCCCTCTGCAGATTCTACGTGGGCTCTAAGCAGCCTCTAAATTGCCTGAACACCTAAGGCTTATTTGCTAGTTGACATCTGATCTATTCTGACACTGAAAATTTCAGTGCTTTAGGGTGCTAAAAGGAAAAAAGAGGGTTTGCGAGGAATCCTGCAGTTGCTGAGGGGGTACCCTGATAAGGGAATTTTAAGCAATTACAGTAAGTGTCACTAAACTTTTTAAAAAATCTTTAACCAGATTAAACTTACACAATTTTGTTATAATTTGTGTTTCTGCAGCTTCCAATTGTGGACAAGATAAGGACCATTGCCCAGGCTGTCTATGGAGCCAAAGATATCGAACTCTGTCCTGAGGCACAAGTCAAAATAGATCGTTACACTCAGCAGGTAAAAGTTGTACTTTTAGGGGAAAAGAAAAAATTCACCTTAGGCTCTCAGAATACTCAGCTTGACTTGAGGATTTGTACATGTCTCACCAGCTAACCTTTGCTTAATCTATTTTCTGGTTAACAAAGATGAAAGCAATATCCTCGGGTAGAGTGTAAACTATATTTAGAACTTTATGGTGAGGCATGTATCCTCTGATCCATGCATGATTTACTTCTGTGACTATAAATGTGTCTGATATGGGTGGTATCCCTGTTTGTAGGTGATGTGTGATCTTTCATCCCTCCCACTCAGCCCAGAACGTTGAAACTATCCTTTGGAGTAGAGCTGCGGAGTCAGATTTGCATGAATTGCAATGCTTCCTCTTCCTTACAGGCCTCTTACTACCTTAAAAATGCTAGCAAGGTGCCAGGGTAGGCAGATAGGAGTGCAGCCTATAAAGATGGGAATGTTTGCTGTTCTTATGCAAGCGGTTCATTGGCTTTTTACTGAGCTGGTCCACTGAGGTTGAAGGCTCCATCATCTTCTACCTCTAGCCACTGAGAAAGGCAAGTAGGCAAACAGCTGGGAAGGTGGCTACGATCTGACAGCATGTGTCATCACCTAGTCCAGTGACAGTCATGATGAATCAACTCCATTATAGGAGGCTCAGCCACCTTTTACCAAAAGGATCATGTGCCTCCAGTGTCCCTCCTACTTTGGTGTAATCAGATAGATAGAAGTCAGAACATTTTAAGAGCCTGTTGGCTAAAGAGCTTCATGATTGGTAGTGTTGACCTTATCTTTAAAAACAATCTCCAACTCCTTATTCTTTTTTGTAAACCCATTTGAAATTTTGTTAAATGCTACCATTGCCAGCCAGGGTATTTGTTCTCCTAGGTTTGGTAAAATAGGAACTCAGAAAGTTCTAAATTCTTAGAATTTTCCCTGATGTTCTTGGCTTACCCTTTACAAAAAGGATTCCCAAGCACTGCTCTGTGCCTAGGCATTGTGGTGAAGTTTTCATTCATGTGCAATGAACCAAGTAAAATAAGGTCATTCTCATGAGGTTGCTTTGTTTTTTTTTCCCCGAGTTTTTAATAATGATATTTAAGACTATCATTTATTGTAATATTAAGTCTTTTCTCCTTTCAGTGTTAAAATGTTATTTCTTTTATGAAGTAATCTGGTGACAGTATATAGCATACTGGTTGGTTTCTGTTTCTTTTTAATATGCCTACTAACAAAATTTTTACATTAGCAAACCTATAGAAATTACTTTAATATTTAACCATGTCTGAAATTCAAAATTCTGGCACCATTCTGAAAGGCAGTTGTGATTCTCACTCAGCAAAATTCTTATCAGTATAGAAGAGTGGAGATTTCAAAAAGAAAATGGCCCCAAGCCCAAGTCCTCCCTAAGTTGATAAGACTCTAAGATCTTCCAAATAGTTTTAGGCTAAGTCTTATGAAAATTTGACTAAAGATTTCATTCCCTTTATCTCTATCAAGGAAATACTCCTTAAAAGTCGTGTCAACCAGGCACGGTGCTCACACCTGTAATCCCAGCACTTTGTGGGGGCAAGGCAGAGGATCAGTTGAAGCCAGGAGTTGAGACCACTCTGAGCAACATAGCAAAACCTCCATCTCTATTTTTATTTTTTTTAAAGTTAGTGCCAAGTATGTGGTTGCAATGAATTAGCAAAGCCTCTAAAGGAACACTGTGTGCCATTTAATCAGAAACAGGCTTATAGGACACTGTGCTTTTTGTGAGACACCACATGTGACTTCCTGCTCTTTCACCTTTGGAACTCTGGGTCAGACATAGACTTTTGTCCTTAAAAACAGGAAGCTTAAATAGTGACCTCATCTTAGTTCTTGTAATGTAGTTGCAGATCAAATAACCATGATTCATAAACCAACACAAAGGAACCCTTTGCTTCTTGACTGACTCCAGAATGAGTGAACAACATGACTAAGAGCCTAGTCGCAGAGCCTTTCTCCAGACTACCTTGCTGGGTCCCGGATATTAATAGTCTTGGAAAGCGGTTTCTACAGCTGCTGCTTTGCCTGCAAATAGCAATGCTTTTCCCAAACTTGCACATAACACTGCCTTCTCTTAACGAGAACCTCCAAAATAAACAATAGTCACCCTTGACCTACTAAACAGTCATCACATAGAGATGAGTTTTTATCCTCACCTTCTTGCTTCTTCAGTGAACAAGTAGTAACAAGCAGCTCCTGCATGTGCCTCGATCTGAGCTGGCATACCATTGCTGCCGAGACTGTATAAAGTGCAAATTGAAAAACACAGGAGACTCACATCTATATCAGTGAACACATTTTCTTTCCTTTCTTACAGGGTTTTGGAAATTTGCCCATCTGCATGGCAAAGACCGATCTTTCTCTGTCTCACCAACCTGACAAAAAAGGTGTGCCAAGTGACTTCATCTTACCTATCAGTGATGTCCGGGCCAGCATAGGTGCTGGGTTCATTTACCCTTTGGTCGGAACGGTGAGTGAGTCACATTTTCCAAAAACCCTCCCCATTCTGCATTGTCGCAGTGCCTCAAATCGTTATGCTCCACCCGCTCTTTAAAAATCATGGATTAGGGAGAATTGGGAGTAATTAATAGTACAGTATTCGCTATTTTTCTAAACACTCTGTCTCACCTACCTTTGCCATTGTGGTTTGGGTTTTTCTTTTTTTAGATCATGTGTTCAGGATCCTTAGAGTCATAATACTAATTTCCTTCCTAAGGCAAGTAAGAACATAACTTGGGAGAATTCAGTCTATTTAAATGGTAGAATGGCTTAGGACAGTGGTTGTCAACCTTTATCACACATAGCACCCAAAATGATGTAATCAGTAGGGTTGAATGCTCACACCAGACAGGATCTGCCCAGTCACCCTAAGGGCTGGGGAAAGCAGTCCTCACCCTCTCACTTCCCCAGCACATCAGGTGGGAAGTTCTGGCTTAGGAAATTACTGAATCATATGAATTCTCATTTTTGATGTTGTTGTGATGGGATTACGTTGCTATTGGTTGATTATTCTGTTATTTTGTGTTATCTATGGAGGTAAAGGAGAGGAGAAGAGATATAAAAGCTTATCAAAGTGCTTAAAATCCATGAAGATTGGCTTCATTTGGTATAGCTACAGAGTGATAGCCTTCCGTTGGTACCATCAGTGGCCTAAATTTGATTTCTTGTCTTTGGGAGTGCTCCTGAATTTGGTTTAGAATAAAAAAGAATTCTTAAAACCTGGCAGATCCCATGGCAAGAAAAGAAAAAAAATTCTAACCCATCATTATCATCATCATTAGTGCAAAGTGATCTGAGCTTAAACAGCATACATTATAATAATTTTTTATAATAAACCATGTGGCTCTATTGTGCAAACAAGCAATAGACAGACAAAAAGTGCAGATTCTTGCCTTGATATTTACATACTTCATCTAATATTGGACACAATGTTTTTTCAATCAGCATCATTTGAATTCTTCCTGCATGTGAGGCACAGAGATTTTAAGATGAGCAGGTGTGAGATGCATGGATTTGAATAGCATAGAGGTATCTGGAGAGCATTGTGTTGGTA
This sequence comes from Homo sapiens, assembly GCF_000001405.40. Taxonomy (NCBI): domain Eukaryota; kingdom Metazoa; phylum Chordata; class Mammalia; order Primates; family Hominidae; genus Homo; species Homo sapiens. Next base: position 63,339,833 of record NC_000009.12, read on the forward strand.
TTCTGAATGCCCTCAGATCCCAGGGGGATAACAGCTCATTATGCCTGGGGTAGAACTTACCTGGGCTGTGGAAGAAGAGGGGATTCTTCAAAAAGGGCTCAACCTCTGAACTGGCAAAACAGTGAGTTTTGACTCAAAGGCACCAGAGTACTAATACATGACATCCTCTCCTGGGGTGATCCAATGTGGCTGGAGTTGGATGAGGTGGGGAGGCTGGGGATGGGAATGGGAATGGGATTGGGATAGCAGGACGGGGTCACATGACCAAGGATCTTGAAGACCATCTCACGGAACTTGAATCTGATCTCTACACACTGAGGAGCCACGGTAGGGTGGGTTTTTTGTTTGTTTCTTGGTTTTTTTTTTTTTGATTTTTTGTTTTTAAAGAAGGAGGAGAAGAATGTGGTCTGATGTGTATTTTAGAAAAATAGCTCTGGCAGCAATGTGGAGAATGTTTAGTGAAAAGAGAACCAGGCCCAGAGAGGTGGGTTAATTCAGCTGGGGCCAGAGGAAATCAAGGTCCGCACTTTGGCCACAGAAGTAGATACAGAGAGTGGGGGTGAATTGCAGACATACTCTAAAAGTATCCTCCTACAGTAGGGGCCGGGTGAAGGGACTGTTCTAGCTTGGTGACTGGCTGGTGATGCCATCACCGTATCATGGAAAGGACACGGGAGGAGGCAGATTGGCCAAGCCAGAAATGAGCCTGGCTTGAAGAGAGAGAGCTCAGAGGGTTAATAGGATCTAAGGAACAGTCTGTGTCTCCACTGGAAATACAGATACAGCTCTCCAAAGAAAGGGGCAGGAAGGTCGCCCTGGTGGGTTTAAGGATATGGGTGAAGGCACTCATTAAACAAGAGACACAGGGATAGCTGGAAATCAGTGAGAAGAGAGTAAAGGAAGACACCCCTGAAACACCCACTTTAATGCAGCCGACTCCTGGCAGGGGTGCCTTCCAGAAGGCAGGAAGGAAGGAGCAGGGGCATGGCAGAGAACGTCCAGAAAAATCCCACAGACACCGCTCACAGCAATGTTGACACAGAGAGAAGGGTCCAGATGAAATGGGTTCTGAATGACATTTTCAGGTCTACAGTTCAGATCAGCAGTTGCCAGGAGCTGGGGGAGGGAAGTGTTTGACTGCAGAGGGGCAGGAGGGAACTTTTTGGGATAATGGAAATATCCTATGTTTTGACATGGTAGTGATTCCATGGCTATATACATTCTTCCAGACTCATAGACCTATACACGTGTGTTGCCCAGGCTGGACTCAAACTCCTGATCTCAAGCAATCCTCCCACCTCAGCTTCCCAAGTTGCTGTGACTATAGGTTCGTGCCACTGTGCTGGGCCTGTGTATCATTTAGTTATACCTCAGTTAACAAAAATGGGTAGTGAAGAGCTTGCTGTATATTCCTTAGAATGGCCTCAGTCAGCCGGGTGCAGTGGCTCATGCCTGTAATCCCAGCACTTTGGGAGGCCAAGGTGGGGGGATCACAAGGTCAGGAGTTCGAGACCTGCCTGGCCAAAAGGGTGAAACCCCATCTCTACTAAAAATACAAAAATTTGCTGGGCATGGTGGCGGGCACCTATAATCCCAGCTACTTGGGAGGCTGAGGCAGGAGAATTGCTTGAACCTGGGAGGCAGAGGTTGCAGTAAGCCAAGACTGCACCATTGTGCTTCAGCCCGGGTGACAGAGCAAGACTCCATCTCTAAATACATACAGACATACATACATAGAATGGCCTCAGTGATGGCCACTTTACTCCTGAGCTTTAGTTGGCAAAGGCCTTGGCTTAGGGATAAGAGGGTGGCTGGACAGTGCAGGCCCAGAGAGACTGGACCATCAGGGGAAGTGAGGGGTGATGGAGGTGCCCAAACAGAGCATGAAATGGTAGAGTAGATGAGAAGGTTAGCCTCGATCACGATCTGTCCTGTCCTACCCTCTGCGGACTCTAAACCCCGCAGCAGTTCACCCAACAAATTCATTCACTCGGCCAATGCTGCATAAGGCACTCAGCTCGGGGCTACAGGAAGCCCCAACCTAAAGAAACTTTCTCTGCTTCAGGTAGTTTACAGCTGGTAGACGCAGATAGAAGTGAATTAGCAAAGAAAATAGTTTGATATAAAAATTGTGCATTTAACTGCAACCTTAATTCACTTCTGAGCATTTAATAGCCATTAAACAAAAACCAGGGCCCACACAGTGGTTCACACTTACAATCCAAGCACTTTTGGAAGCCAAGGTAGAAGGATTGCTTCAGGCCAGGAGTTCAAGACCAGCCTGGGCAACATAGCCAGACTGTGTCTCTACTTAAACCAAAATTAGCCAGGAGTCATGGTACACACCTGGAGTCCCAGCTACTCAGGAGGCTGAAATGGGAGGATTACTTGAGCCCAGGAGTTTGAGGCTACACTGGCCTATGATCATATCATTGCACTCCAGCCTGGGAGATAGAGTGAGACCTCTGTCTCTAAAAAAATGGAATAAAATAATAAAAAACACAATATAATTTAAAATCTTTGGAGTCACTAAACAAATATACAATGTGAATCTCCTCCCACTCCAGCTAACACTACCATATCCAACACCAGGTAAAGACCAAAGCCGTTCTGGGAAATCAGAATCTGTTGCCATGGCTCATGCCTGGACACCAGGCTGTCCGCTCCTGATGTCACTCTTTGACTTATGACTTGTTAGAAAATGAATGCGTGGAATGGCCCTGGAGGAGCCGCTGCAGCTCTCTGGGTTTCCTGAAGTGAGCCCTCTGTGTCATTATCTGGTCTTCTCAGCCCTCAGCCGAGTTCCTCCTGTGGCCACATGTGGGGTCGCAGTGAGCATCAGTGCACAGTGATAAAATCTGGAACAATAGGGTGTGGGGTGTGAGGAAAGGGAGTGGTGCCTGACTACAGAAGTTCCTGGAGGTCAGGAAACTCTCACTGGAGGCAGTGGCCCTAGAGGGCTGCTTTCTGTGACAGAGCAGGAAGCTGCATGTGTACTGGGACACATGCAGCAGAGGGGCCAGGATCTCCTAATAAGGACTGGTATTTACTTTTACTTGAACCCATTCTGGGCCTTACCACAGTGTGCTGAAATGCCTTGAACATTCATCACCCATGTGGGAGAAAGGATAGTAATTTCCTGCTGAGATGACTGAGGGGACAGGGAATGGGGACACCAGGGGGACTGGCTCCTGCAGGTGGGAAAATTCTAGCAAAACGAATCACTCTTCTGCTTAGTCACCCAATGTGCGCTTATTAGAGTGCTGCTGAAAAACATATTCGTCTATCCACTCCAGAAAGATAGTCCAAACTGAGACCTCAAGATCAGAAAGGCTCCCAATCTCCTGCAGGGTTCATTCATTTACTCAGTGAATTATTAAATGCCTACAGCACGCAGGGCCATCAGCCCAACGGCTATGAGAAAGAGATTCAGTCCTTTCCTCACAGGCCTTATGATAGACTCCAGTAAATAAAACAATACAGGCACAGAATGTGGCAGGCTTTATAAGAAAGCCTCTCTTGTTGTGTCCTCAAGGGAAGCAGAGAATCTCCCCTCTGGCTCTAGTTGGAGAATCCCAACCCAAGCAAGTCCATCTTTGAACAATAAACATCTCCAGTACTGCTGGCTTTGGAAGACCCCATGGTGAGATGCTGGAGCTTTTTTCCGCTCCTGATTTCACTTTCTAAATATTTACTTTTACTTTCCATGTTCACTTGTAGGCCAGATTTTTTTTTTTCCTACCATTGAATTATTTCATCATGTTCTATTTAATTATTGTTTTAATTGGCATTGGTGACCACAAATAATAATAAATACTATTAACTGATGTAACAGCTTCACTAGTCTATTTAACTTCCCCATGCTGTTGTAACTGAAGCACCCAGCACAAGCATTCCCAGCTCGTGGATGTCTAAGACCTTTGAGGTCATTCTTACATGCATTGCTAGTGTTTTCCATATTCCTTGATGGTAACCAATTTTTCCTTCCTAAAATAACTTTCTTCATTCCTAGTAAGCTTCATGTGTATTTTGTGTATTCTTCCCTCTTTTTTATGACATTATACATATTATTGAAAGCTAGAAAATAATACAAGATGCTTGACTGACATAATACCACTTAGTACCTCTTTTTGTAAGAAATAGATTTTCTAATACAAATCTTTGATATAGGAAGAAATGAGCAAGTGTTTTTTAAGGTTTTCCAACCCTATATTCTACTACAAATTACCCTGTTATGGTATGCTTCCAAAATTCTTTCAAGGATTACAGTTTATAGTGTTCAATAAACCTAATAGTTTATAAAACTTCTCAAAAAATAATCTCATGCCAAAAATAATTTAGTAGTAGGTGGTCTTTGTCTTGTGGTCACATTGTTTTGATATTGTCTTTAAGTTTCTGTAATTTACAAGGGCTGTTTAATCAGTTGGCATGAATTTCATGACAAAAATGCTAATATGTAAGCAAAGTATATGAAATGATATTTTTGAGAAGTAAATTACATTCCATATAGAAAAAGACTAGAAAGACTACACCAAAACCTTAAATTAGACAGTGATATTATGAGTAGCTTTTTTTCTTCTCTTTTTTGTATAGATCAAATTACTACGTTGGGTGTATATCACTTTTATAACATGAAAATACAGTAAATAGGGCGATGATAAACTGCAAGTGCTTGGGGAGAAGGCTTAACTCAGGCCAGTTGCAAGAGAGTGAGAACACACACACAGCCTGTGGGAGCGGGCTCCGTGCCATCACCTGGCCGGTCCTGGCTGTGTTGCTGTGTTTTTGCACCTCAAAAGTTGGGACAGCAAGGAAAGGCCATAAGAGCTAGAATGTTTCTATAAGAAGTGTATTCAGTATGATTTGTCTAGCTCTGACTAATGTGTGCAAACCCCAGATTCCACTAAGCAAATGCAAGATTGTTTTTCCCTGTTAATTTTTTCCTGGGCCCTTCTTGCTTACTGTGTTGGGCATTGGAGAGGGGGTGATTGACTTCTTTCTTCTCACAGTGTTTTCTCTCGCTCTCTCTTTTTTTTTTTTTTTTTTTTTTTGAGACAGAGTATTGCTCTGTCACCCAGGCTGGAGTGCAGTAGCATGATCTCAGCTCACTGCAACCTCCGCCTTCCAGGTTCAAGTGATACTCCTGCCTCAGCCTCCCAAGTAGCGTGGACTACAAGTGCATGCCACCATATCTGGCTCAATTTTTATTTTTCATAGAGACTGGGGTCTCACCATATTGGCCGGGCTGTTCTCAAACTCCTGACCTCAAGTAAGCCACCACGCCCAGCCATCTCTCACAGTGTTTTTTAAAGCAACAATGCATTTTCACAACAGTTGGCCTGGAGAGGTGTCCAACCAAGTTGGAATTCATAGCAGATATCCATTTGAAGTTAATTTTTGGTGTATTTGACTGTTTTCCATTGACTTCACATTGAGGCAGTGAGAGAGACTTGAAGAACTTAGAATATGAACCCTTTTCTCACTGGCAAACATGGGACATAGAGGCATGTCTTGACAGCAATTTATGGCAACACTCTGGGCTGGAATCTAGGGGTTAGGCAGCCTGGCCGGTTTTGTAAATTAGCCAGGCCACCCTCAGAGTCAGTTTGAGGGTTTAGTGGGAAGCCTGAATAAAAAGAGAAGTTAAACTTTTAAGAAAAGCGTCAAGCTTTAAAACTGGAATTGGCTTTTCAAATTTAATGAGTAAAAAGAAACCCCAAAACTGGAATTGTAATTGTGGAGAAGTACAAATTATAATATTTGGAATATCATCTACAAGGAACGAAACTATCCAGAAGCATTTAGATGGTAGTCATTGATTGTAGGGCATCTCTGGGGGCAGGGTGGCTCCTGGCACTGTAGAGAAAGACCATCGGTGCTTCCGTCTCCCAGTTGGAGGAAAGGGATACACTGTGGAGGTCCCAGCAGCTTAGGGCCTGCCCCCATGTGGTTATGTCTGCATGGTTTCCTTCCCTCTGTCTTCCTGTAACTCTTTCACCCTGGCCCCTGTGCCCTTTCTGGGCAGAGGGTGACAGGAGGCACTGCATGGGTGCATTCTTTTTTTTTTTTTTTGAGACAGAGTCTTACTCTGTTGCCTGGGCTGGAGTGCACTGGTGTGATCTCGGCTCACTGCAACCTCCATCTCCCAGGTTCAAGCGATTCTCCTGCCTCAGCTTCCCGAGTAGCTGGGATTACAGGTGGCCACCACTACGCCCAGCTAATTTTTTCCAATTTTAGTAGAGACGGGGTTTCACCACATTGTTCAGGCTGGTCTCAAACTCCTGACCTCGTGATTCACCCGCCTCAACCTCCCAACGTGCTGGGATTACAGGTGTGAGCCACCGCCCCCGGCCAAGTACATGCTTTTTTTCCTCTTGTTGGGATTGGCCTGGGCTATACCTATCTCATGGTGGAAGCCTGCCTAGGGACCAGGCCCTAGAAGACCAGCAGTTTATTTAACTGGGTTGGCCTTTGTCCCCACTCCCTGTGACCCGGCCCTGCCATATCTTTACCCAGGTGCACCACTGATATCATGGCTCGGCTGGACTCTGGAAAGCAGGAAATTGCTGGAGCATGTTTGGGCATCAGTGATGTCACCCGCTACGAATGCCGGGTGGGGTTACTGGACTGAGGGCCATGAAAAAAGAAAGCTGCGGCCCTGCCCCATGGACTCACTGCCATTCTGTTCTTTCTCACATTTCAGTTCAGCTCACTTTGTTTTCCGTCCCCCTCCCTCTACTGTAAAAGTATGTACTCAGTGTTTCATTTCCTGCCGGATCTGATTCAGGTCAGTGATGAAGTTCTTTGCAAGCTCAGTGGGGAGGCGTTTCCTCCCTTTCATACCGGCCCTGCTTAGGGATGCATGGTTGGTTATATACTTGCTTCACTCGGTTAGGCATGGAGGAGAATTCATTCAGACCTCATAGGTTTAAATCAAATGCATGACCCTTCACATTTTCCAGAGATTTAGACAGTTACAGTGAGACAATTAAACATTCACCCCACAAGCTGCACTTGGAGATGTGTAAGCAGTAATGTAGTCATGCGCTCCCCATGATATGAGAGTGTGCAGAATGCCACTCCCCACAGCAGGTCCACGAGGACCTCCTCAGGGAGCATCTTGCCTACAAAATCACCCATCCCTTTTCCCCCACTTTCTTCACTTTCCCTACGTTTCCACTCCCACACCCACAAATAAACAAAGAAACTTTGAGCTTATTTTACAAAAGTCTTTGAAATGGCCTTCCTCTCTCCGATGCTCCTGGGCCCTGGTTTGGCCCCATCTGTGCAGTCTCTCTGATGAGTGTGAAATAAGCCAGGTTTGGCTCATGCTCTCCCTGTGAGCTTGCTCTCCCCGTGAGCCTGCCCTCTCCATCTGGCCTCACTTTGTTTGTGTCCCTGGGTCCTTTGTCTCTGATCCTGGGATCCTGGTGGTTTCCTCCTCCCCGCCCAGCTTGGGTCCTTTTCCCCAGGGTTCTTCCCTATCTCTACATCAGAATTTCCTGCTTTCTCCCAAATATGCATTTCCCTGGCCCAGGCATCCATTGCTTCCTCTCATCGTGAGGTCCCTGCAGCAGACTGCCAATGGTGTTGTGGCCATGCCTTCCTCCACAACCCAGGGAAAGCTACATGTGTGTCTGTCCCATAGGGAAGGAGTCATCCCTGTCTCTTCAGTGTGGCATGTTCAGGAGGAAGGAAAGTAACCAGCGTCATTCTCAATTTCTGGAAACTGTTTATCATATTGACAAGAGGAAGAAAGCTTTGCGACTCATGAGAATGATGTTTTCCTCTCTGGTACATAAGGTTATGTAGGTCCAATCCATTGTGTAGAAGATCTTTTCTCCCTTAATGGGATGTACACTTATTTTTAGCACAAGTATAAAACTACTTTAAATGAAATCAGCCTCAGCCAGGGAAATATGCTGAGTAATAATGTTGCCAGGTACTATACCACTGAGTTGAGTTTGCAATTCACTGCTATTAATCCCTGCATGTTAGTTCTGAATTTTTACTCTTTGCATACGTAGAAAAATGGTGTTTCTCTTCAGAGTCAAGGAGGGAAAAAAGAAAAGTTAAAAGACGCTTATAACACTTTTGTGTCCACCCCTAAAATCAGCATATTGATCTACTATTTTTCTAGGTATTGATGGAATATTGACTCATATACTTTCATACAACTGCTAATATATATATATATATATAGACTCATTTTTCTTCTTCCACTTTCATCTACAGCCTACTTGTTTTTCTCCCCCCATTTTTCGTTTGGATTCATAGCATAAATTGACAACAAAGATACATCTCAATTTAGAGCTTCCAAAAGGCACCCATAAAAGTATCTGGTGCTCATGGAATTTCTCTTTCTTCTGTGTCTCTTAGTTACACTTTTCTCTTATTACACTTTTCTATCCAGCCGTGGCTAAGAGGCATATAATCAGAAGCAGCTAAGCAATGTATGCAAGGGAAATAAAATGAACACAAACCAAAATAACCGGTTTTGTAAATTAGATAGCAAGGCCACCCTCAGAGTCAGTTTGAGGGTTTCGTGGGAAGCCTAAGAAATATAACTGATATAACTGATATATTATCAGTTATAAAAAAAGTTATAAGAAAAGGGTCAAGCTTTAAAACTGGAATTGGCTTTTCAAATTTAATGAGCAAAAAGAAACCCCAAAACTGGAATTGTAATTGTGGAGAAATAGAACTGATAATATCTGGAACTTGCAGCAGTTTACAGGCTTAACTATGTATGTGTTCCTTAAATTATCCACCCGCAGATATCAGATTACAATAAGTCCTCACTTAATGTCATTGATAGGTTCTTGGAAACTACCACTTTAAGCAAAAGGACATAATGCATATGAAACCAGTTTTCCCATAGTCTAATTGATAGGAAAAAGAGTTGAGTTATGAAGCCACACAGTACCTCGTTTGGCTTAAAGTCACTGTTTCCAAGAACATATCCACAATGTTAAGTAAGGACTTACTGTAAATGAAAATATTTGCAGTAAATCGCTTTTGAGAGAATTGGTTATCACACTCTTCTCTGGGTATCACTGAAAATTCAGAATGTTTAGTTACATCAGGCTATACTCACTGGTATGAAATCAGGGAGCAAGTATAAAGTAGGTGTAGGGAAATAATTTATGTTGGATTAAATGATCCAATGAAGGAATTTTATTAAGCCCCTAGAAATCCCAGAATGAAAATGTATAACTGCATGACTAACCCCTGTAAGAATTTGCTGGGGTTTCTGCATTAAGTACGCTTCCCAGGCCATTTGTAATGAAGCTACCGTGATCTGTTAAGGAAGAGACCTACACCTGGGAACATAAACAGCCAATTCCATCCTGGACATCAGTCTCCTGTTTGACTCATTCCAACCCCAAGAATATGTTGTAGAGTGTAGGACCCATGAAAGTTACCTACAGTGCTTCCCTGTACCTTCCATCATCCAGTTCCCAAACATACCTGTGTTTCTTCTCTGAATGCATAGTTACTTGGGATCCCATGTTGTATTAGTCTGTTCTCACACTGCTGTAAAGAACTACTTGAGAGTGGATAGTTTATAAAGAAACAAGGTTTAATTGACTCAGTTTTGCAGGCTATACAAGAGGCATGGCTGGGGAGGCCTCAGGAAACTTACAATCATGGGGAAGGCAAAGGGGAAGCAAGTACATATTCACATGGCGGCAGGAGAGAGAGTGAAGGGGCAGTGCCACACACTTTTAAACAACCAGATCTCAGAACTCACTAGCACGAGAACAACAAGGGGGAAATTCACCCCCATGATCCAGTCACCTCCCACCAGGCCCCTCCTCCAACACTGAAGCTCATAATTCATCATGAGATTTGGCTGGGGACACAGCACCAAACCATATCATATGCCTTTCCCAGGACTGGTGTTGGAGGAACAGTGCCTTTGTCACACCTACCAGAATATACTCACCCACCTCCAGACACTCCATTTCTCTTTCAAGCACACCTCCTCACTTGTGCTGCCAGCTAAGGTTTACTGCAGTTACTTCCTTTGTGTGTCCTCTTACCTTACCAAGTCGCCTCACCCACCACCTACTGTTAATTAAATTACCACCTCCCCCACTTCCCCACCTCCAGAGTAGAGACTGTGTCTTCAGTTCTCTTGGCCTTCCCACAATGGGAAGTCTGGTGTGGAACATACCCTAGGAGCCAATTAAATGTGGTAGTGGCCTGCCAACCCTGCAGAGGGCTAGCAAATCTTCAGGGAGTCTGCTGCCGGTGGAAACTCACCAGTACTAGAATCCCAGGCTCCAAAGAAGTCTAGAAAAGTACGTCTTTTAAGGAGCTAATAAGAGGCTCAAGTTTCCACAAATACTATCTGCTCTTGGCCTAGTTCTTTTGGGATCAGTGTGCTAGTCTCTCTTGTCAAACTAGTTACTGACCAGCAAGACTAAAAAACCAGGCCCAAACACATTCTATTCATGTGCTTAGATATAAACCTATGGATCAAATATCCCACTGTAAAGCAAAAAAGCAAACTGTTTTTCCCTTGTACTCTCACACTCAACAACAGCACACTTCTGTGGCTGGCTGTGTGGGGGCTTTTCCTTACACACCAAACATTTCTCACAGAGACCAACTGGGTGTCCTCTTATTCAATTCAATCCTGACACTGTCTACCTGCAGATAGTGTCCAATCCCACAGATTGACGGCTCGATCCCATGAGACCAGCCCCACTTCAGGCACTAATTCCAAGTCCAGGCGACGCATACTTCTGACTGCCTGGCTAAAAACTACATCCACGGCCGGTCATGGTGGTTCACGCCTGTAATCCCAGCACTTTGGGAGACCAAGGCGGGTGGATCACTTGAGATCAGGGGTTTGAGACCAGCCTGGCCAACATGGTGAAACCCCGTCTCTATTAAAAATACAAAAATTAAGCTGGGCACAGTGGCTCACACCAGTAATCCCAGCACTTTGGGAGGCCGGGGCAGGTGGATCACGAGGTCAGATCAAGACCATCCTGGCTAACACGGTGAAACCCCATCTCTACTAAAAATACAAATAAAAATTAGCCAGGCATGGTGGCAGACGCCTGTAGTCCCAGCTACTTGGAAGGCTGAGGCAGGAGAACGGCCTGAACCCATGAGGTGGAGCTTGCAGTGAGCAGAGATCATGTCACTGCACTCCAGCCTGGGTGAGAGAGCGATGCTCCATCTCAAAAAAATAAATAAATGAAATAAAATACAAAAATTAGCTGGGTGTGGTGGCGGGCTCCTATAAGCCTAGCTACCAGGGAGGCTAAGGCAGGAGAATCGCTTGAACCCGGGAGGCAGAGGTTGCAGTGAGTTGAGATCCTGCAACTGCACTCCAGCCTGGGAGACAGAATGAGACACCATCTCAAAAAAAAAAAAAAAAAAAAAAAGGGTTCGCATGAGCCCCCTCCCTGGGTTCAATTAAGTTCCTAGGATGGCTCACAGAACTCAGAGAAACATTTACAGAGCTGTTATGATATATATTGATTTTCATTGATGAACATTGATGCAAAAATCCTCAATAAAATACTGGCAAAACAAATCCAGCAGCACATCAAAAAGCTTATCCACCATGATCAAGTGGGCTTCATCCCTGGGATGCAAGGCTGGTTCAATATATGCAAATCAATAAATGTAATCCAGCATATAAACAGAACCAAAGACAAAAACCACATGATTATCTCAATGGATGTAGAAAAGGCCTTTGACAAAATTCAACAACCCTTCATGCTAAAAACTCTCAATAAGTTAGGTATTGATGGGACATATTTCAAAATAATAAGAGCTATCTATGACAAACCCACAGCCAATATCATACTGAATGGGCAAAAACTGGAAGCATTCCCTTTGAAAACTGGCACAAGACAGGGATGTCCTCTCTTACCACTCTTATTCAACATAGTGATGGAAGTTCTGGCCAGGGCAATCAGGCAGGAGAAGGAAATAAAGGGTATTCAATTAGGAAAAGAGGAAGTCAAATTGTCCCTGTTTGCAGAAGACATGATTGTATATCTAGAAAATCCCATTGTCTCAGCCCAAAATCTCCTTAAGCTGATGAGCAACTTCAGCAAAGTCTCAGGATACAAAATCAATGTACAAAAATCACAAGCATTCTTATACACCACCAACAAACAAACAGAGAGCCAAATCATGAGTGAACTCCCATTCACAATTGCTTCAAAGAGAATAAAATACCTAATCCAACTTACAAGGGATGTGAAGGACCTCTTCAAGGAGAACTGCAAACCACTGCTCAAGGAAATAAAAGAGGATACAAACAAATGGAAGAACATTCCATGCTCATGGGTAGGAAGAATCAATCTCGTGAAAAAGGCCATACTGCCCAAGGTAATTTACACATTCAATGCCATACCCATCAAGCTACCAATGACTTTCTTCACAGAATTGGAAAAAACTACTTTAAAGTTCATATGGAACCAAAAAAGAGCCCACATCACCAAGTCAATCCTAAGCCAAAAGAACAACGCTGGAGGCATCACACTACCTGACTTCAAACTATACTACAAGGCTACAGTAACCAAAACAGCATGGTACTGGTACCAAAACAGATATATAGATCAATGGAACAGAACAGAGCCCTCAGAAATAACACCACATATCTACAACTATCTGATCTTTGACAAACCTGAGAAAAACAAGCAATGGGGAAAGGATTCCCTATTTAATAAATGGTTCTGGGAAAACTGGCTAGCCATATGTAGAAAGCTGAAACTGGATCCCTTCCTTACACCTTATACAAAAATCAATTCAAGATGGATTAAAGACTTAAAAGTTCAACCTAAAACCATAAAAACCCTAGAAGAAAACCTAGGCATTACCATTCAGGACATAGGCATGGGCAAGGACTTCATGTCTAAAACACCAAAAGCAATGGCAACAAAAGACAAAATTGACAAATGGGATCTAATTAAACTAAAGAGCTTCTGCACAGCAAAAGAAACTACCATCAGAGTGAACAGGCAACCTACAAAATGGGAGAAAATTTTCACAACCTACTCATCTGACAAAGGACTAATATCTAGAATCTACAATGAACTCAAACAAATTGACAAGAAAAAAACAAACAACCCCATCAAAAAGTGGGCGAAGGACATGAACAGACACTTCTCAAAAGAAGACATTTATGCAGCCAAAAAACACATGAAAAAATGCTCACCATCACTGGCCATCAGAGAAATGCAAATCAAAACCACAATGAGATACCATCTCACACCAGTTAGAATGGCAATCATTAAAAAGTCAGGAAACAACAGGTACTGGAGAGGATGTGGAGAAATAGGAACACTTTTACACTGTTGGTGGGACTGTAAACTAGTTCAACCACTGTGGAAGTCAGTGTGGCCATTCCTCAGGGATCTAGAACTAGAAATACCATTTGACCCAGCCATCCCATTACTGGCTATATGCCCAAAGGACTATAAATCATGCTGCTATAAAGACACATGCACACGTATGTTTATTGTGGCATTATTCACAATAGCAAAGACTTGGAACCAACCCAAATGTCCAACAATGATAGACTGGATTCAGAAAATGTGGCACATATACACCATGGAATACTATGCAGCCATAAAAAATGAGGAGTTCATGTCCTTTGTAGGGACATGGATGAAATTGGAAATCATCATTCTCAGCAAACTATCGCAAGAACAAAAAACCAAACACCGCATATTCTCACTCATAGGTGGGAATTGAACAATGAGAACACATGGACACAGGAAGGGGAACATCACACTCTGGGGACTGTTGTGGGGTGGGGGGAGGGGGGAGGGATAGCATTGGGAGATATTCCTAATGCTAGATGACGAGTTAGTGGGTGCAGTGCACCAGCATGGCACATGTATACATATGTAACTAACCTGCACATTGTGCACATGTACCCTAAAACTTAAAGTATAATAATAATAATAAAAAAATACATCACCAAAAAAATAAAGAGGGCATTATAAAATGCTCATGGAAAAAATATTATTTTAACAATTAGTAAAGTAAAATAAAAATTTGTGACTCATAAAGACACACTTCATTTTCATCCTCTATTTTTTTTTTTTACAAATGGGACTTGAATATTTTAAGATAAAATTTAAAAAATCAAGTAATTTTAATCAGAAATTTCAAAAAAATAAAACCCTGAATCCAATTCAAATTTCACTTACTTGGAAATTGTCACTGATATAAATTTATTTATATAAATGTGATATAACCAATAAAGATATGCAATAGAGTCATTGTTAATTTGGGTAAAAAATTTTAAAAACAATGCAAACTTGTATTACCTCCATATGTATGTATGTACACATGTACACATATATGAATATTTATATATTTGCATACACACACCATATATGTACCTGTGTATAAATGAATAACAATGGAATATCAGTTGGCCTCTACTACAACATTTGAAGGCCCATTGCACAATGGCCAGAACAGAGACGACATCAGAATGCAACTTAAAATTTCCAAGATGACTTGAATTATATCTGAATTTCTAACAGGACATAGAGAAATTAAAATCTTGTTTGATTATGCTTCTTTGTTTATTACTGGGAGAGCCTCACACGCAAAGCAGATCAGGATATTCTCTTACCAAATGTGTTAATTAACAGTCAGTTCATAATGTAAGGGTGACTCAAATAGCAGATTCAATATCAAACAGGAAGGGCTTTTGTAGCCCGTTCTATTTTCGGTCAACCACAAACCACCCACTCCTGCTGAAATAAAAACTTAAAAGGCAGGTGGAGGAAAATATGTTCTAGACCAAGGGGTAGGTTCCGGGTCTGCAAAAGACATAGTGTGCCACCCACAAACACACAACTTCAAGGAGCGTGGCTCAATCCTTCAGAAAATTGGTTCTAACTTTCAAATCATTAGGGATCTTCTTTATGAAAGATATAGCAAACAAAAACACAAAATATACCCCTCTAAGATTATTAGGAAGTTAAAAAAAAGTGACTTGTAACTTTTAATAAATAACTAGGGAGGTAAGCTTGTTCATTTCTGAGATTCACAACTTTTATAAAGGTGCTGTATTAATACTTGAATTGTGCTATGTTCAATAGAAGCAGAGACATAAGCCATACTGAGAGAAGAAAAAAATTTTACAAGAAAATCTAATGCTGTTTAATTTCTTTAAATATTTATTAATTTCTGAATGCTATGTGATTGCTTTTATATTAATTTTTCAGTAGAGAAATTGAATACAATTGAATACAATTGCTCAGTTGAGAAATTAAATACAATGGATTTTAGTGTGATGACATACTTGATGGGATAATTTTAAAATCATGATTTTAATTAGATATAATACTTTTAGGTAGAATAATAAAAATAAAGGAAAACCGATTTTCTTTAAATTCCGTCAATTATTTCTTTCTCACAATAATTAATATGTAACTTACCAATGATGTAGTAGATTAATACCAAATTCTCTTACTTTTGGTTTCATCAAAAAATGATGAGCATTTTTCTCTGATTGATGATCAGTTACTTTCAGATGGCTTGTAATCTTGTACTTTCAACATTAAAGATTTTTTTTCACATATTGATACCAATCATTTTATGATACATCTGATTTTATAATTATGTACATTGCTTTCAAATGAGAGTTATGGTTGTATACAGTAAGAATTACAATAGAGGAAGTTATCTGGTGCTCCAGGAATTTAAATAAGAGAAGATATAAAGATCTCAGCCTTTGTATCAATATTTTAATTGGATCCTGAAAAATGAATGGAGATAGACAGAAAACAAGTAAAAAATGGTCTAAGCAGATGGAATAGAAGGAGTAAAAGGAGAGTGATAGAAAAGTGTGTGTGTCTTTGAAGGAAGATAACCTGTTCTGGGTGTGGCTACAGCACAGGTTTGTGAAGGAAAATGTTAAATGATTGAGGAGAATGTCTCTCAATATCAGTGATTTTGTATTTTACCCTTCAATGATGGGACATAAGTAAACAATTTTTAAAAGCATAGTGGGTGTGTGTGTATATAAATATATAGTATATATAGTATATAGAATGTCTATACTTATACTATATACATACATATAGTGTATATGTATATATGTATATATAGTATATATATATACTTATTTTCATTCTAGATAGAAGTTTTTGAGATGCAGTTAGAAGAAAAAGTCAGAAAGAACAGTCAAGATTATTCCAGCAGTACAGGCATGATGTGATGAATGACTAAATTAAAACATTAGCAGCAACACAGAAGAGAAATGGCAGAATAGAAAGGTAATTCAAGGTAGAAACAGCTGAACTTAATAATTCATTTAGAAGGAAGAGTCAAGGTATAAATACTCTAAATTTTCTTGGCGACTGGCTTGATATTATCATCATTAGCTGAGATGGGCAATGCTTTAAAAGAAATAGATTTATTTGCCAAAATATAAAATGTGTTTATGGCTATGTCAAATTTGAGATGCAGGTGGTGAAGACAGAGGGGGAGAATCAGTTGATATTTTAAAATATAGGTTTGAAACCTACAGGAAAATATTGGAGTAAAAAAAAATAAAGAAAATCAAACGTCAAAGGAAATGCTGGAAGTGTGGGAATGGATAAAAGGAGCACAGGAAAAGTGTGCAGAGCATTGTTACCCAAAGTGCTGTGGGAATTTTATACACATATGAATACAACTCGCAAAACACACAAATATTTTTGCTTCCCTGGATCATTTACTGGAGTCTTTTACATACACATTCTGAAGTATAAGGTATGCAGAATTTTCTAAGCGTATCATACAATTCCATTCCAAGAATACATTTCAGGAAAACTACTGTCAATCAGGGAAACATTGGTGCAGAATAGTAAGAAAAGAAATACCCATTAAGACTAGTAGTTACACAGTGGACATGAAAAAACTAGGCAGCAAGGAGTTATTAAAAAGAAAGCATGGGCTGGGCATTGTGGCTCATGCCTATAATCCCAGCACTTTGGGAGGCCGAGGCGGGCGGATCACCTGAGGTTGGGAGTTTGAGACCAGCCTGACCAACATGAAGAAACCCCATCTCTAGTAAAAATACAAAATTAGCTGGGCATGGTGGCACATGCTTGTAATCGCAGCTACTCGGGAGGCTGAGGCAGGAGAGTCTCTTGAAACTGGGAGGCGGAGGTTGCAGTGAGCTGAGATCACACTGTTGCACTCCAGCCTGGGTGAAAAGAGGGAAACTTCATCTCAAAAAAAAAAAAAAAAAAAAAAAGAAAAAAGAAAAAAGAAAAAAATGAAAGCATGGGGCCAACATTGAGTGGTCTTAAGGAAGTCAGGGTAGAAGGAAATTTAAAGAAGGAAATGAGAAGCAATGCAGAATGTTTAGAAAGTCAACTAGGAAGCTCCCATAAATATTCTCACTATGTATTATAGGGAATTCATTTATAACTTCAAAAATACCACTCAAAAAAGATGGTAATTGTTGAAATGAGATTTCAATGGGTGAAAGAGGCTGGGCACAGTGGCTCATGCCTGTAATCCCAGCACTTTGGGAGGCCGAGGTGGATGGATCACGACATCAGCAGTTCAAGACCAGCCTGGCCAAGATGTGAAACCCCATCTCTACTAAAAATACAAAAATTAAACGGGCATGGTGTTGGGCACCTGTAATCCTAGCTACTTGAGAGGCTGAGACAGGAGAATCGCTTGAACCCAGGAGGTGGAGGTCGCAGTGAGCCGAGATGATGCCACTGCACTCCAGCCTGGGTGACAGAGCAAGAGAAAGAAAAGAGAAAAGAAAAGAGGAGAGAAGAAAGAAAAGAACGACGGAAGGGATTTTAAAAAGAGATGAGAAGTCAGTATACTGTTTTGGAGGAAGTGTAATTTATGATTTTGGCTATAACTTGCTATGAATGGAAACAGCAACACACCACTGGATTTCAACTTTTGAGTGCTTAAGAAGGTGGAGATGGTGATTAAAATAATAATAATAATAATAATAATAATAATAATAATGCTAAGTGTGTAATAGTTGCTAAGTGTGTGGTGTCTGAACCCAGGATATCAGGATGTCTGGAACTGGGATTGAATCCCAGCTCTTCCACTTTCTGGTTATGTGAGTGACTGTAGGCAAATTACTTAATCTTTTAATGCTCCAGTTTCCCATATGTAAAATGAGAATTATAATAGTAAACTACTTCATGGCTTGTGAGGATGAAGTGCATGTAGAGTACTTAGTGAGTTCTCTTTGCGTATTATGTATTAGTTTCAAAATGCAGATTCTAGAGCCCTTAGATTCTCATTCAATAGGTATGAGGCAAGCACGGGCCAGGATTCTGCATTCTTTAAGGAGGTGTAATTTCCTATATCTGCTGTGACAAAGTGGTTCACATTAGGTCGCTTAAAATGAGATAAAGTTATTCTTTTACGGTTCAGAAAGCTAGAAATCTTAAATGAAGGAGTTAGCAGTGCTGCATTTTTCTCTGAATGACCTGGAAAAAAATCCTTTCTTGCTTCTTCTAGCACCGGGTGATCACTGAGCTTCATTGTCATTGCTTGGCTGGAGGATACCTCACTTTATTCTCTACCTCCATCCTCACATGGCCATCTCCTCCCTGCGTCTCTGTTTCCTCTTCCCTTCTTATGAGGATATCAACCATATTGAATTATGGCCCACTCTAATGCATTATGAGCTCATCTAGCATATCATAATTATACAGCATCTGCAAATAATTTGATTTCAAATTAAGTCATACTCACAGACATCAGGGGCTAGAACTCTAATATATATATTTTCTTTTTGAAGACACAATCTAACCCACAAAAGGAGGGGAGCCGCTTAAGATCATAAATAACTCAAGTAACAAGACTGTGTGTTTAAAATAGCATTTAAATTTCTCCAAATGGCAGACAGTTTAATTCAGATCAATACCAATCAGGAGATAAACAAGTGTTTGTCTCCTAATTGGCATTTACCTGAGATTAAAACATTATGGTAAAATACATTATCTTCAGTGATCTTTGGTTTAGGTGAGCATTCACAAGGCACACAGTTATTATCACTTGAGCCATCTCTCTCTAATAACTCTTTTCTAATCTGCTGGCCAACAATATCAGGTTCTTTCAAATCTCTGATTATCGGACCAAACCATAAGGTCCTCCACGTGAATTGGTAGAAATATTTTTTACAAAGGTAAATGAAATTTTATTTACTTGATGGATTTCTCTTCTCCTTTGTACAAAGGGGTGACCCTTTGACAGCACAGGGAAAGAACATGATAGAAATAGACTTTCAGAAGGAAGGGCCTTCCATAACAAGGAATGCCATCTGTAATCCAGACTTTTTTCTCCTCAGGAATCCAGTCATAGGCAAATCTCTATGAATCACAGATAAATAGAAAGAAGGGTGGGAGTGTGTCAGGAGTAGGATGCTGAAAATGTGAGTAGCCTGTTCATTAATTGGTCCCTTGGAAACTGAGAAGGCAACGTGGCATACATGCAATTTCCATGGAATGATGGAAGACTGGTTGTAGTTACTATGATCCTATAATGCTCAGATCACAACGGGGTCACCCTTATTCATGACTGAGCATTCCTTCTTATTAGTATCCCAATGTGAAATTGTTTCTCAAAAAAGGAGGGGGCGGGTAATTTTTGTACAAAAGGCTTTTACTCCAAAATAAAGTGGCTTGTACTGTATTTCTCCTCTGGAGCCTTGCCGCTGGCTCCATAGGAAAATTCTGCCTCTCATAGATACCTGAGGCATTGGATTCCCTAAACAAAATTGTAGATCCACTTGTACTGCAGGCCTCTGTAGTCCAAAACGTTTCTCTTTCTCTGAGTCCCACTCACAGCTGACATCCTTCTTGACATTTGCATTTTATTTAGAATACACATCCAAATATGTTTTATGTTGCCTCTAACATTCAAAAGAGCCTCTAACAGTCTTCCTTTCCCTATCCCTTCCTTCCATTTGAAAGATGTTTTCTCCACATCACTTTCTACTGCATTCTTAGACTCCCTGAAGGTAGGAAACCCACATTTTTGTCATTGGCTCGATGTGTCTTTCCTGAAGTCTATGGTAGCTGCTATTTTTCTCTAGAGCATATCAACCGGATGCTGTCCATGTATTCCATAAGTTATGTCCGTTTGGCTAGTGACATGGCCAGGGTTCCTGAGTACAAAATTGTGACACAGACAAAAATAGTTATACTTCTACAGCTACATAGTGAAGACACTGTGCCTGGAAAAAGTAAGAAATTTCAGGTATTTACCATTTATTTAAGATACAGAAAAATAATTTGCCTAAATGTATAGCAGGAAAAGGAGATAAGTGTATTCACTAAAGCAAGGAGACTACATCTGGATTTTAAATGTGTGCCCTCAGATAGGATTCCAGTACACAGTGGCTGGATTCTGAGTGTTTGTCCCTCACACAGGATTACAGAACACTGCTACGAGGTTCTGAATGGAAAAGGAAATATCTTCACATAAAGACAAGAAAGAAGCATTCTGAGAAACTTCTTTGTAATGTGTGCATTCACCTCACAGAGTTGAACTTTTCTTTTGATTTAGCACTTTTGAAATACTCTTTTTGTAGTGTCTGCAAGTGGATATTTGGAGTGCTTTACATTCTATGGTGGAAAAGTAAATATCTTCACATCAAAACCAGACAGAAGCATTCTGAGAAACTCCTCTGTCATCTATGCATTCATCTCACAGAGTTGAATGTTTCTCTTGATTGAGCAGTTCTGAAACACTGTTTTTGTAGAATCTGCAAGTGGATATTTTGAGTGCTTTGGGGCCTATGGTGGAAAAGGAAATATCTTCACATAAAAACTAGACAGAAACATTCTGAGAAACTTCTTTGTGATGTGTGCATTCAACTCACAGAGTTGAAATATTCTTTTGATTGAGCAGTTTTGAAACACTCTTTTTGTAGTATCTGCAAAGTTGGAGGGCTTTGGGAATTCTAGAGGAAAGGGAAATATCTTCTCTTAAAAACTAGACAGAAGCATTCTGAGAAACTTCTTTGTGATGTGTGCATTCATCTCACAGAGCTGAACATTTCTTTTGATTGAGCAGCTTTGAAACACTCTTTTTGTAGAATCTGCAAGTGGACATTGGGAGCGATTTGAGGCCTATGGAGGAAAAGGAAACATCTTCACATAAAAACTACACAAATGCCTTCTGAGAAACTTCTTTGTGATGTGTGCATTCATCTCACAGAATTGAACCTTTCTTTTGATCGAACAGTTTTGAAACACTTCCTTTGAAGGATCTGCATGTGGATATTTGGATCAGTTTGGGGCCTGTGGTGGAAAAGGAAATATCTTCAAATAAAAACTACACAGAAGCATTCAGACAAACTTCTTTGCGATGTGTGCATTCAACTCACAGAGTTGAAAATATCTTTTGATTCAGCAGTTTTGAATCTCTCTTTTTGCAGAATCTGCAGGTGGATATTTGGAGCCCTTTGAGGACTACTGTGGAAAAGCAAATATCCTCACATAAAAATTAACAGAAGCATTCTGTGAAACTACTTCGTGACGTGTGAATTCATCTCACAGGGATGAATTTATCTCATGAGTGAGCAGTTTTGAAACACTCTTTTTGTAGAATATGGAAGTGGATATTTGGAGCCCACTGAGGCCCACAGTGGTAAGGAAATATCTTCTCATAAAAACAACACAGAAGGATTCTGAGAAACTTCTTTGTGATGTGTGCATTCATCTCACAGGGTTGAAACTTTCTTTTCATTGAGCAGTTTTGAAACACCGTTTTTGTAGAATCTTCAAGTGGATATTTGGAGAACTTTGCCGCCTATTGTGGAAAAGGAAACATCTTCACATAAAAACTACTCAGAAGCATTCTGAGAAACTTCTTTGTGATGTGGGCATTCAACTCACAGAGTTGAACCTATCTGTTGATTGAGCAGTTTAGAGTTTCTCTTTTTCTAGCATCTGCAAGATGATATTTGGAGCCCAATGCGCCCTATGGTGGAAAAGGAAATATCTTCAATAAAAACTGCACAGAAACATTCCAAGAAACTTCTTCGTGATGTGTACATTCAAATCACTGAGTTGAACTTATCTTCTCAATGAGCAGTTTTGAATCTCTGGTTTTGTAGAATCTACAAGTGGATATTTGGAGCCATTTGTGCCCTATGGTGGAAAAGGAATTATCTTTAAATAAAACTACACAGAACCATTCAGACAAACTTCTTTGTGATGTATGCATTCAACTCACAAAGATGAACCTATCTTTTGATTGGGCAGTTTAGAATCTCTCTTTTGAAGAAACTGCAAGTGGATATTTGGAGCCCTTTGCGCTCTGTGTTGGAAAAGGAAATATCTTTAAATAAAAACAACACAGAAGTAGTCAGAGAAACTTCTTTGTGCTGTCTGCATTAAACTCAGAGAGTTGAAACTTCCTTTTGGTAGAGCAGTTTTGAAACACTCTTTTTGTAGAATCTGCAGGTGGATATTTGGAGCGCTTTGAGACCTATGGTAGAAAAGGAAATATGTTCATACAGAAACTAGATAGAAGCATTCACAGAAACTACTTTGTGATGTGTGCATTCAACTCAAAGAGTTCAACATTCCTTTAGTCAGAGCAGTTTTGCAGCACTCTTTTTGTAGAATCTGCAAGTGGATACTTGGACTGCTCTGAGGCCTATGTTGGAAAAGGAAATATCATCACACAAAAACTAGACAGAAGCATTCTCAGAAACTTCTTTGTGATTTGTGCATTCAACTCATGGAGTTCACCATTGCTCTTGACAGAACAGTTTTGAAACACTCTTTTTGTAGAATCTGCAAGTGGATATTTGGAGTGCTTTGAGGTCTTCGGTGGAAACGGGAATACCTTCACATAAACACTAGACAGAAGCATTCTCAGAAACTTCTTTGTGATGTGTGCATTCAATTCACAGAGTTGAACCTTCTTTTCGATAGAGCAGTTTTGAGACACTGTTTTTGTATAATCTGCAAGTGGACATTTGGATCGCTCTTAGGCCTACGGTGGAAATGGAAATATTTTTAGATAAAAACCAGAAAGAAGAATTCTCGGAAACTTCTTTGTGATGTGTGCATTCAACTCAGAGAGTTGAACCTTTCTTTTGATAGAGCAGGTTTGAAATACTTTTTTGTAGAATCTGCAAGTGGACATTTGCAGCGCTTTGAGGCCAATGGTAGAAAAGGAAATAACTTCACATAAAAACTAGACAGAAGCATTCTCAGAAACTTCTTTGTGATGTTTGCATTCAACTCACAGATTTGAACATACCTTATCGAGCAGTTTTGAAACACTCTTTTAGTAGACTTCGTAAGGGGATATTTGGACCGCTCTGAGGCCTTCACTGGAAACAGGAATACCTTCACATAAAGACTAGACAGAAGCATTCTCTGAAACCTCTTAGTGATGTGTGCATTCAACTCACAGAGTTGAATTTTTCTTTTGATAGAGCAGGTTTGAAACACTCTTTTTGTAGAATCTGCAAGTGGATATTTGGATAGCTTTGAGGATTTCGTTGGAAACGGGAATATCTTCAATTAAAAACTATACAGAAGCATTCTCAGAAACTTCTTTGTGATGTGTGCATTCAACTCACAGAGTTGAATCTTTCTTTTGATAGAGCAGATTGGAACCACTTTTGTTGTAGTATTTGCAAGTGGATGTTTGGACAGCTTTGAGGCCTTCGTTGGAAACGGGTATCCCTTCACATAAAAACTACACAGAAGCATTCTCAGAAACTTCTTTGTGGTGCTTGCAATCAACTCACTGAGTTGAACATTCCTTTTCATAGAGTAGTTTTGAAACACTTTTTTTGTAGAATCTGTAAGTGGAAACTTGGAGCGCTTTGAGGCCTATGGTGAAAAACGAAATATCTTCCCATAAAAACTAGACAGAAGAACTCTCAGAAACTTCTTTGTGATGTGTGTACTCAATTAACAGAGTTGAACTTTTCTTTTGATAGAGCTGTTTTGAAACACACTTTTTGTAAAATCTGCAAGTGCATATTTGGATATCTTTGAGGATTTCATTGGAAACGGGATTATCTTCACATAAAAACCAGACAGAAGCATTCTCAGAAACCACTTTGTGATGTTTGCATTCAACTCTCAGAGTTGAACATTCCTTTTCATACAGAAGTTCTGAAACACTCTTTTTTTTGTATCTGGTAGTGGACATTTGGAGCGCTTTGAGGCCTATGGTAAAAAACGAAATATCCTCACATAAAAATGAGACAGAAGCATTCTCAGAAACTTCTTTGTCATGTGTGTACTCAACTCACAGAGTTTAACCTTTCTTTTGATACAGCACGTTTGAAACACTCCTTTTTAGAATCTGCAAGTGGATATTTAGATAGCTTTGAGGCTTTCGTTGTAAAGGGGAATATCTTCACGTAAAAACTAGACAGAAGCATTCTCAGAAACTTCTTTGTTATCTTTGCATTCCACTCACAGAGTTGAACATTCCCTTTCATAGAGCAGTTTTGAAACTCTCTTTTTGTGAAATCTGCATGTGGACATTTGGAGCGATTTGAGACCTATGGTGAAAAACGAAATATCTTCACCTAAAAAGTGGACGGAAGGATTCTCAGAAACTACTTTGTGACGTGTTTACTCAACTTACAGAGTTAAACCTTTCCTTTGAAAAGGCAGTTTTGAAAAACTGTTTTTGTAGACTTTACCAGTGGATATTAGGACAGCTTTGAGTATTTCATTGGAAACGGGAATAACTTCACATAGAAACTAGAGAGAAGCATTCTCAGAAACTTCTTTGTGATGCTTGCATTCAACTCACTGAGTTGAACATTCCTTTTCATAGAGCAGTTTGGAAACACAATTTTTGTAGTATATGGAAGTGGAAACTTGGAGCGCTTTGAGGCCTATGGTGAGAAAGGAAATATCTTCCATAAAAACTAGACAGAAGAATTCTCAGAAACTTCTTTGTGATGTGTGTACTCAACTCACAGAGTTGAACTTTTCTTTTGATAGAGCAGTTTTGAAACACACTTTTTGTAGAATCTGCAAGTGGATATATGGATAGCTTTGAGGATTTTGTTGGAAACAGGAATATCTTCACATAAAAACAAGAGAGAAGCATTCTCAGAAACCTCTTTGTGATGTGTGTACTCAACTCACAGAGTTTAACATTTCTTTTGATACACCAGTTTGAAACAGTCTTTTTGTAGTATCTACAAGTGGATATTTGGATAGCTTGGCAGCTTTCATTGGAAACGGGAATATCTTCACATAAAAACTAGACAGAAGCATTCTCAGAAACTTCTTTTTGGTGCTTGCAATCAACTCAGTGAGTTGAATATTCCTTTTCACAGAGCAGTTTTAAGACACTCTTTTTGTCGAATCTGCAAATGGAAACTCGGAGGGCGTTGAGGACTATTGTGAAAAAGGAAATATCTTCCCATAAAAACTAGACAGAAGAATTCTCAGAATCTTCCTTGTGATGTGTGTACTGAACTCACAGAGTTGAACCTTTCCTTTGATACAGCAGTTTTGAAACACTCTTTTTGTAGAATCTGCAAGTGGATATTTGGATAGCTTTGAGGTTTTCGTTAGAAACGGGAATATCTTCAGATAAAATCTAGACAGAAGCATTATCAGAAACGTCTTTGTGATGTTTGCATTCAAGTCACAAAGTTGAACATTCGCTTTCATAGAGCAGGTTTGAAACACTCTTTTTGTAGTATCTGCAACTGGACATTTGGAGCGCTTTGTGGCCTATGGTGAAAAAGGAAATATCTTCCCATAAAAACTAGACAGAAGCATTCTCAGAAACTTGTTTGTGATGTGTGTACTCAACTGACAGAGTTGAACCTTTCTTTTGATAGAGCAGTTTTGAAACACTCTTTTTGTAGAATCTGCAAGTGGATATTTGGATAGCTTTGAGGATTTCATTGGAAACAGGAATATCTTCATATAAAATCTAGACAGAAGCATTCTCAGAAACATCTCTGTGATGTTTGCATTCAAGTCACAGAGTTGAACATTCCCTTTCACAGAGCAGGTTTGAAACACTCTTTTTGTAGTATCTGGAAGTGCACATTTGGAGCGCATTCAGGCCTAAGGTGAAAAAGGAAATATCTTCCCATAAAAACTAGACAGAAGCATTCTCAGAAACTTGTTTAGGATGTGTGTACTCAACTAACAGAGTTGAAACTTTCTTTTGATAGAGCAAAACAGTAAATTGAAGTTTAAAATAATTGTAACAATTGCATCTTATATATCAGGTGAGATTTCATAGTTTGGTTCAAGTAGTTTTCAAGTGACAAATTTTCAAGTTTTTAAGTTTTCAAGAGTTGTGCAAGTTCATCAGCCAGAAATCAAGCAAAAGGCTAGATAAGTAGCAGCAGGTGCAGGATTCTTGATATTGAAACTTTTAGGACTTTTCTCCTTCAGGATTCCAATGTTGTACATTTTATTTCCAGTATAACCCCTATGCATAGGATAAAGTAGTTTCACATGTTTGATTTTTCTAATTAGTTATTTGGGTTTCAAAATGTCCAGTTTATCAAAAAATCTTGTGCTGTGTACTGGGGACCATCTACTATAGCCTGATCATTGAATTTTTTCAAGAACCTAAGGGGTTCCCTAAGTCCAAGGAAGACAATCAGTGTCTACAAGTCAGGAGGAGAAGGGGAAAGGGCATTCTAATCATTGCTTTGTTTTCATTGATTCTGTTGCTGCTTTCTTGCCATTGAAACTACTCTTGCAGTCTGGTAATGATTAACCTTTGCCACCAGGATGCCCTTTCTGTTTGAGATCCCTCAAACTTCATGTTGATCCATAAAAAGGCTTCAAAGTTACAACTATTTTTTTTAGTTCCCAGACTAACAAAAATAATCTAGCTTTTTGTCTTGACTACCAACCACTCTGGATTTTTTTTTTTTTTTTTTTTGAGATGGAGTCTCGCCCTGTCGCCCAGGCTAGAGTGGAGTGGCGTGATCTTGGCTCACATAACCTCCACCTCCCAGGTTCAAGCAATTCTCCTATCTCAGCCTCCGAAGTATCTGGGACTATAGGCACACACCACCACGCCCGGCTAATTTTTGTATTTTCAGTAGAGATGGGGTTTCACCATGTTGGTCATGCTGCTCTTGAACTCCTGACCTCAGGTGATCCATCTGCCTTGGCCTCCCAAAGTGCTAGGATTACAGGCATGAGCCACCATGCCCGGCCCACTCTGGATTTAAGGACAGTTCTTCCTTCAATCAGCAGCCAAAGAGTCCTGATTCCTGATTCTAATTAAGAAGTTTAACTTGGTATTCTATTTCTGATGGAAGGATGGCTGAAAGAAGGGAGACTCAAACAACAGATGAAGGCAAAATACTCTGTACTGAATTTTCAATGTAATCTTAAATTCTATGTTTAATTGAGATGACCCAAATTCTTTTTTTTTTTTTTTTTTGATACGCAGTCTCGCTCTGTTGCCCAGGCTAAAGTGCAGTGGCATGATCTCGGCTCACTGCAACCTCCACCTCCCGGGTTCACACCATTCTCCTGCCTCAGCCTCCCAAGTAGCAGGGACTACAGGCACCCGCCGCCACACCTGGCTAACTTTTTGTATTTTTAGTGGAGACAGAGATGACCCAAATTCTTAACTGCCTCATAAATACTGTTAATATATTGAAAGTTTTGCCCTAGGCTTTTATTAAAGTCAACTATATAGAAAAAGTTTCTCCTATCTTGAGATGTATTATTAAAGACATCATCCCCAATAATATTCCATATTCTCTGTTTAGGAACCCCAATTGTTTTCAAATTCAAGAATTCAGAGAAATCTACTTGTTACAAAAGAGTAGAATGGATAATGGGCACCACATCCTGAAGTGTATTTTAATAAAAATTCATGTAAGATGGTTCAAAATTTCATTAACTACTTTATATAAAAAGAAATGCCTGGGAGAATTCTGTTTCTAGCAGAGTGGCAGACTGATGCCTTGAACAACCCTCCTATTACAAAACTGAATACTCCACATGAAAACAAATCTTTTCAAATGCATTGTTAAGCTGTGAAGAGAATAACGAAAGTTCTAAGAAACCAAAATCTAAATGAAAACACAAGTCCAGGCAGGCACTGAAAACCTAAAAAAAAAAAAAAAAAAAAAAAACTGAAGAGGCCAATTGTTGGCAAGCATGTGGAACAGCAGGAACTCTTCAAGCTGCTGCTGGTGGCGGAGGCCAAGCCACTGTGCTCCCAGAACACAACACAGAAGCCTCCACACTGAAGCAGAGCACAGGTGCCCTGGAGTCTCCACCCCACCCAGGGATCCTCCAGCAGAAGTGGGTGTGCCCCTGCATACCTGCAAGTCCCATATGCAGACTTACTGTTCAGGGCCGTGGGATAACAGCCAAAAATAGGAAATCATTTTACTCATCAATGGAAAAATGGTGACACAGTCATATAATGGAACTCAACAATGACGATAAATCAATGTCTGCCATAGACAAGAACATGGATGTGTTCTGTAATACTGAACCAAAGAAGCCAGGCTAAATAGAATGTGCTGTATTTTATAGAAGTCAAAACCAGGCAGAACAAATCTACATCAGGAACTGGGAAAGTAGCTATTTTGTGGGTTGGGGCAGCAGTGCCTGGGAGAGGCCACAGGTCAAGGCTACTGCTTGGTCCAGGGCGTGGCAGCCTGGTGTGCTACAGTTCATCTAGATGCACACTTATGATTCGGGCACTCTTCTGTATGTACATTAACATTTCAATAAAAAGCTTATTAAAACATTAAAGCTTTCAGAAAAATCCACATTGCTTTAGTAGAAATTAGCACATTAACGTTTAAAAAATACATGTATATGGTGGGGGGAAAAATAGTTCAAAAGAGTATCCAGTGAAAAGTTTAAGAGGGAGTGATGCCAGCTAAGGGCTGATCAATAGCCCCTTGCACTCATCCCCTGACAAAGACAGCCAAAGCAGCAAACAGCTATATTTTGATGAAAGTCACTAAAGGAGAGCCCCAGAGTGCATCAAGGAGTAGCAGAAATCCAGTAGAGCCCGGAAAACAGGACGGTCACGTAAAGGAGGGAAGGAAACATCTGGCCCCCACCACCCATTCCCCCAGAGGGATCAGCCTGAAGCAGAGGGGATGTCTCCCTGCAGGGATAAGGAAGCAAGAGGGGCCCAGTAGCCCCAGCACTCCCCTCAGAGAAGGAACTGACATTGTGCCCCACCCCCATGGACCAGCTGCTGCTGCAACGTGCCCTCCTGGACCTGGACCACTTCGGGAGCATGTCCCACCCAGGGTGAGCAGCCACCGCACCCTTCTTCCATCCTCAGGCTTTGTTGCTCTATATCACACCCACCTAGTGGCCCACCACCCCCGAGCCGCTGTTACACTGTCTTAGGCCATTTAGTGTGGCTGTAACAGAATACTTGAGACTCGGGGTAACTTATTCTATAAAAAAGGTTTATTTGGCTCACCCTGCTTGTGTCTGAAAAGTCCGAGATCAGGCAGCACAACTGGTGAGGGTCTTGTGCTGCTTCATCTCATGGGGAAAGTGGAAGACGAAACAGGTGTATGCAAGGGGCTCACATGGCAAGAGAGGAAACACAAGAGTCTAGGAAGCTGAACTCACTCTGATAACAATCCACTCCTGGTAACTAATCCAGTCCCATGAAAAGGCATTAATCTATTCATAAAGGATCTGCCCTGTGACCCAAATAACTCCCACTAGGCCCCACCTCCCACACCAGCACATTTGGAATCAAATTTCAAATGGATGAAATTTCAAATGGCTGGTGGGAACAAATGATGTCCACATCACAGCATACACCCCACCTGCGGGGCCACGCTGCTGTGCCCCTCCCCTCCCAGCTGCCATTGTGCCCTGCCCCTTGGAGCCTGAGCTGACTTGGTGCCCTGCTTTCCAGGGAATCAGTGTCTTGGCCAGTCTAAGCAGTCACACCCCCCACTGCACGAGAGCTGAAGCACTGCCCTGCTTCACAGGGAATCAGTGTCTTGGCTGAGCTGAGCAGCCACACCTGCCAGGGATGAGCCAACATGGCACCCCCATATCCCAGGAAAACGGCATTGGCTGAACTGGGGTACCTTGCCCTTCAGGACAAACAACTGTAGAACCCTGCTTCCTTGGAACTGGACTAGCCCTGGAGAATCTGAGTTGCCCAGGCACCTGCCTCCCCAGGGAGAGAAGTAGTTGCTGTACTGGTCCCTGCCCCCGAGGGCCCAAGCCACAGTAGTGCTCCACCATTCTGGGGTCCTTGCTGATGCTGTGCCTGGCCTTTCATAGACTGAGATGCTGCTGTGTCCCACCACTGCAGGGTCCAGAGTCACTATCATGTCACTCCCATGTCCAGAGTCACTCCCATCCCCTGGGAGTTTACTTCTTAAACTCTTCGCAAAAACAGAGTGAGAGGAAATAATTCCAAACACATTTTACCAGGCCAGTATCACCTTAATACCTAAGCCAAACCAAAACACACACACACACACACACACACACACAAACACACACACACACACACACACACACGCACACACCAAACAAAAACTACAGGTCAACTTCTCCAATAAATTAAATACTGATGCAAACATCATAAAAAAATTTTAGCAAATAGAATTCAACAACACATCAAAAACATTATACATCGTGTTTAAGTGGGATTTATCCCTGGCATGCAAGGCTGGTTTAAAATATGTAAATCAATCAATGTGATATATCACATTAACAAAATGAAAGATAAAATGACATGGTCACCTCAATTGATGCAGTAAAAGCATTTAACAAAGTTTAGCAACATTTCTTGATAAAACCTCTTAATAGTTTATGTATAGAAGGAAAGTTCCTCAACATAATAAACACCATTTATGAAAAACCCACAGTCTAATCATAGTTAGTGGGGAACAACTAAAGCTTTTCCACTAAGATTGAGTACAAGATAGGGATGGCCAGCCTCATCACTTTTATTCAATAGAGTACTTGCAAGAGCAATCAGATGAGAAAAAAAAGGCAACTAAATTAAAGAAGTAAAATTATCTCTATTTGCAGATGACAAGATCCTTTACGTAAAAAACTCCAAAGAGTCCACAAAAAACTGTGAGAACTACTAAATCAATTCAGTTAAGCTGCAAGGTATAAACTCAACATATAAAAATCAGTTGCATTTCTGTATACAAATAACCTAGCTGATGAAGCAATCAAGAAAATAATCTCATTTACGATAGCATCAAAGAAAAACAAAAACTTAGGAATAAATTTAACCAAGAAGGTGAGAGATGTGTACACTTAAAAACCATAAAACATTGATGAAAGAAATCTAGACATGAACAAATGGAAAGACATCCTATGTTTATGGATCAGAAGAATTAATATTGTTAAAATGTTCACACTACCCAAAGCAAATATACAGATTTAACACAATCCTCATCAAAGTTCTGATGACATTCTTCACAGAACAGAATAAAACAATCCTGGCCAGGCACAGTGGCTCACGCCTGTAATTCCAGCACTTTGGGAGACTGCAGCGGGTGGATCATGAGGTCAGGAGTTGGAGACGAGCCCGGCCAACATAGTGAAACCCTGTCTCTACTAAAACTACAAAAATTGGCCGGGCATAGTGGCATGTGCCTGTAGTCCCAGCTACCTGGGAGGCTGAGGCAGAAGAATTGCTTGAATCCAGGAGGCAGAGGTTTTAGTGAGCCGAGATTATGCCACTGCACTCCAGCTTGGGTGACAGAGTGAGACTTCACCTCAAAAAAAAAAAAAAAAAAAAAAAAAAAAAGAAAAGAAAAGAAAAGAAAAAACAATCCTGAAACTCCTATGGAACCACAAAAAACCCCAAACAGCCAACAGATAACTGTGAAAGAAAAAGTTGGAGGCATCACACCTCTTGATTTAAAATTGTATTACAAAGCTATAGTAATCAAAACAGTATGGTGCTGGCATAAAAACAAAAAAATAGACCAATGGAACGTAACAGAGACCTTTGAAATAAATCCAAACATATACTGTCAACTAATTTTTGACAAGGGCAAACAAGACAACACAATGGTAAAAAAGATAGTCTCTTCAATAATAGGATTTTCACATGCAAAAGAATAAAATTGGACCCTGATCATACACCATACACAAAAATCAACTCAAAACAGATACAAGACCAAAGACCCAAATAAGACCTGAAACCATAAAACTCCTAGAAGAAAACATAGGGGGAAAGCCTCTTGACATTGGCCTTAGCAATAATTTTTTGGATATCGCACCACAAGCCAGGCTACAAATGTAAACATAAACAAGGAGGACTGCATCAAACTAAAAAGCTTCTGCACAGCAAAGGAACAACCAACAAAATGAAAGGGGAACCTACAGACTGGAAGAAATATTTGCAAACCACATATCTGATAAAGTGTTAATATCCAAAAATCAGTAAAGAACTCTTACAACTTAAGAGCAGAAAAACAACCCAGTTGAAAAATGGGCCAAATAGGAAATGACCAATAGGAAATGGGGAGATGTACATTAAAATAATACAAAGTAGCAGACATGTAGGATGAACAAGTTAGAGATCTAGTGTACATCATGAGGGCCATAGTTAATAAAAATATATTGTCTTTGGGATTTTTGTTAAATAAGTAGATTTTAGCTGTTCCTGTCACACAAACAAAAATCTAACTATGTGAGATGGTAGCTATGTTAATTTGCTTCACTATAGTAACCAGTTTACTATCTATATGTATCCTTTAAGATCATGTTGTCAACCTCAAATATATAAAATAAAATTTATTTTAAAAAAGAAAAGTTTTCCTTCAATCCAGAAAGAACCACTATTACCATTTTTTGGTGTTCCATTCCAAAATATCCCACAAATATACAATTGTTCAATCAAATTTAACATTAGACTTTATACTTGAACATTCAAAGTATGTAAGAAATTATAGAAAAGTGTCTGTGTGACTCCCTGTCTGTAGAGCACAGGCTTCATCTCCACTAACACACACACGACCAGTACCTTATACAGAGAGTCCTTGTTTGTCTTTAGTCTGACACCATGGGCGAGCCTGAGTTGGCCCGTGGTCCACATTCCTGACCAGGTGTCTTTCTCACCCACTGGTTTCAACAAAGATGTTACTGGGTTATAGAAGGCTGGGATGGAAACAGGATACCAAGTTCGCATGGAGACAATATCTGAAAAGAGGTAATTTACTTTAACGTTTTCAAAAGAAGATTCATATCCATATTGTGAAGAAACAAAGAACAAAATCTTCACTCCAAACTTCTCTACCTGGCTGCAAAGTATTTGAAGGGAAAGCTCGCTAAGGAAACTATTCTCATAGATCACAGAACTGTTACTGGGTGTGGCCAGGGGACTGCAGACACAAGGCAAATGGGCACACTGCATAAGACTGGGAGATCTAAGGCTGGAGCTGCTCAACTCTCTGGAGACCTGACTCCAGCCTCTCGTCACACTGGCTAGAAGTCAAGCATGAATGGTAACACCCTGCCCTGAACACTACTTAAGACACTCACCGCTCATCCGCAGCTTATCCTCAAAGCTATCCTGGAAAGCTCCTTCTGGAGCTCAGAGTGCTCTCTTGATCTGCCCCCTTATCCCACTGACAGTTCGAATCACAGCATCTTCAAATTTGGCCACTTCCAAGGCAGAATTAAACATTCCCTACAGGTATAGCAAGATAAAAACACACACACACACAAAATCATATACTTTATGCTTTACTTCTTACTTCAAACATACATCCTTGATTAAAGAACAAAAACAACTCACTGAAGGGTGATAAAATAATCAAAATGTATTTGCCCCTGAAAGTGGAATTACTACCTCAAAAAGAATACAACTCTTTCATTTTCCCCAAAATAATCATGTGAGTTCATGGGCATGCTCATCACTGCTGTCTGTGTGGAAGAGAAGATCGAAGAGGGATTTACTGGACTGAATTAGCCTAGGAAGCCTTTGCTGGCATCTCTCAGACTGGACTGCAGCCCAGATCCTTTTACTCAGATGCATGCACTTAGAACATGAAAACAGTAAGATAAACGCCGGTGGTATTATTACCTTATATTGCAAGAACATTTTATGACTTCCTAACACTGTTTTCAATAGAAACATCCCCACTAATGAAATTGTCAATAAATGCTGCTCAAACCACCCTCCCAAAATACTGAA
Source organism: Homo sapiens (assembly GCF_000001405.40). Taxonomy (NCBI): domain Eukaryota; kingdom Metazoa; phylum Chordata; class Mammalia; order Primates; family Hominidae; genus Homo; species Homo sapiens. The sequence continues at coordinate 63,373,976 of NC_000009.12, forward strand.
AAACAGTACATCCATTTCTCTGTACCCTTGCCAAGTTGTCTGCAAATGCTTTGTCGATTTTTCTACTGAGTTAGACAAACTTGTGATTTTTTTCCCTTTCTTAACACCAATTTAAAAAGTAGGAAACAAAACCTAGTGGATAAAATGACATATTTTCAATATGAGTTCTGTGGCAGTCTCACATGGAAGTCAGGAGTAACAGCCTCAATTCCTAAATAGCTGTTTACCACTGCTTTTTTGAGCATATTTAAGTAATACAGAATATAAAGGAGCAAACAAAATATGAAGTTTATAAAAGATTTCAAACACTTTTCTAAAAATAAGAGGCCCACATTTTAGAGGTATTTCATTCCTTTTCTCAAACAATATGGACATTTATAAATATGAGAATATACAGATATACAGACCTTAATAAATGAAGTGTTCTTGAAAATTTTATATGGAAAACCAGTTAGCTTTAATTTCTTCACAACTTTTATGGATTTATCCAGATCAAGGACAACTCCTGTGGCAGCTATCCGAAAATCAGGCTAACAGGAGCCCCAAAATTTGAAAATAGGAATAATATTAGCAAGAGAAAAACTTCAATTCTATGTGACACAATAAATTACCAAAGTGAATTTTACTTACAATTAGTTAAGAAAAACAAGAGAGACCATCTGAACTTGCAACCCATTGGTTTGACAAAAGCAATCCAAAACTTTAAAGTTGGTAAGCCAAACTAACAAGGGTGACTTGAGGCCAGGCACAGTGGCTCATACCTGTAATCCCAGCACTTTGGGAGGCCAAGGCAGGTGGATCACCTGAGGTCAGAAGTTTGAAACCAGTCTGGCCAACATGGCGAAATTCCATCCCTACTAAAAATACAAAAATTAGCTCGGCATGATGGTGCATACCTGTAATCCCAGCTACTCGGGAGGCCGAGGCAGGAGAACCGCTTAAACCCAGGAGGCAGAGGTTTCAGTGAGCCAAGATCGTGCCACTGCACTCCAGCCTGGAAGACAGAGTGCGACTCGGTCTCAAAAAAAAAAAAAAAAAAAAAGAAAGAAAAAAAAAAGGCTACTTGAGTACTTTCCTGAGAGTGATTTCAGAGGAATGTAATTTTACTATAATGATTTATTTGGAACGAAATGGAAAAGAAAAATACAGTTGCAATGTTTAGGAAATTAAAATTTGGACCTCCAGGGAAGATTCCATCTGCTCATTATTCTGCTTTCTTCTCTGTTAAATGGGACCAGTAAACCCTGCCCTGCCTGACTGGTCAAATGAAAATGGAGTGAACAGACTGCTACCCCAGCACAGCTGCAGGGAGTCTTGTGTCTGGGTGGTCTCTGACGGCTCCTCATAACCTCATATAGTGCTTAGCACATGGTGAGCACTGCTTAAATACTTGCTTGGATAAATAAATGCAAAAGATGCATAAAAATAGGAAATGTACCATTATAATTCTTCCACCTCCCCTCCTCTAATCCCACACCCTACTGAAAAGGATGTACGAAGATTAAAAGCAAAGGGAAATTTACTTTATATTAATAAAAATGAGTAATTTTCAACTTAAAGTCTCATGTACATAATAACCCACATTCAGGATATATTTCTCAAACCAATCTGTAAAAGAAATCGTCCAAGATAGTTACCATTATGCCACTGACAGACTGTATTGCCAAGAAACCAGTTCCCTGTGGAGTGATAGGGTCTTAAAGGAAAAGGAAAAAAAGAAATATAGCAAACCAGAAATTTTAGATTCTAGTTTAACATACTGGATATTGACATTTAGATTTGGATATAGATGTACATATATACTCCAAACCACCTCCCCGCTCCCAGAAAAGAGAAACATCTTAGGAGTGGAATTTTATGAAAGGAAAAGCACAAAGCTAAAATAACACAGCCTGTAAAGTTTAATCTCGGCAATAGGCAAGTTATTGTAATCATATTTTACCCCAAAAGGCTGCTCCACAATGGATGTGCTGTGGCGTATACTTTAGAAGCCTTTGTCTTCCATTGTGGTCTTCGATATAATAGAGCAGGATGGTCTGAAACCTCCTCCACCCTACAGAAAATATGATTGGATCTTGGGACTTGAGGATTTTCTTATACCAGCGATGATTCTTCAGACGCATCTGAGGGGGATGAGAGGGTAAGATGATTGATGGAGGGGAAATCCACAGAGCCTCAGGCACCAAATACGCAGCAAAGGGACCCACCTGCACGTGTCCAACATTTCCCTCACTGTTGCCCAAGCCACCCAGGATAATGGGGTAATGGGGGTCAAAGTTCTGCACAAATTCACAGGGAACATTTTCAATCTCAACACGGACATACATCCCAGGTCGAAAACCCTCATACTGAACTCTGGCTTCATCATCTTGATCTTCAAATTCTACGTGATTCAGCTGTACATGATGGGGTTGGGGGGGAAAAACCTGTATGCTGTTATTTGTAATAAACATAGGATTAACATGAACAAATGAGCAATTTCTAAGTAAAGGAACTGTGGACAGAATTATGTAGGCTTTATCCTATTAAAAATACTACACATTTGGCCGGGTACAGTGGCTCATGCCTGTAATCCAGCACTTTGGGAGGCCGAGGCGGGCAGATCACATGAGGTCAGGAGTTTGAAACCAGCCTCGCCAACATGGTGAAACCCTGTCTCTACTAAAAATACCAAAATCAGCTGGGCATGGTGGTGCGTGCCTGTAGTCCCAACTACTCAGGAGGCAGAGGCGAGAGAATCGCTTGAACCTGGGAGACGGAGGTTGCAGTGAGTCAAGATCGTGCCACTGCACTCCAGCCTGGGCAATAGAGCGAGATTCCATCTCAAAAAACAAAAAAACAAAAAAAAACCCTACACATTTTACCTCTACAGTCTGTTCAGAATATGTCCCAACCATTTTCTTCTCTCCTGCTCCAAGGGACAGCAAATGTAGATAACTGTGGAGCCCTGCATGCTCAAACATTGGAAACATCCCCAGTCCACACTTTCTTTCCTTCCTCTCCAAATAATTCTTTCACACTTTTCCCTTGTCTTCAAACACCCACCACCACCCTCACCTTCACTCAGCTGATGGCTGTTTCCTGATTCACTCCAAAACCAAAAGAACCTCTACGGTCAACCCTATACCAGGGTTTCCTCCCATATCCAGCCTTATCAGAGCTCTGACCTGCCCCATAGAGGAGCTATGTGTGGCTATTTAAATTAAAATTAATTACAATTACATAATATTTAAAATGCAGTTCCTCAATCACACTAGTCACACTGGAAGTGGTCCGTATCAACCTGTGGCCAGTGTTACAACATTGGGAAGCACAGATGTGCATCTCCATGATCACAGAAAGTTCTACGGGCAGCTCAGGCACAGATGATTTGTCCATGCCTCTACTCAGGGCCACACATCACTTGCTCACTAGACACCATCCACTCTTCCTGGACTTTATTCCAACAGCTCTTCCCTCTGTTCTCTCTCTCATCTCAAAACCTTTTGATTCCACTTCTTCCACCAAAAACTGCTTCATTTCTCTGCTTCTCTCTGCAGCAAAACCCCACAAAAGTTTTCCACAGTTGCAGCCTCCAGTTCCTCTGCTCCCATTCTCCTACATCCATGAAAATTGGTGCTTGCCAAGATCGCTGAAGGCCTCCACGCTGAAGGACTCCTCCGGTGGTCAACTCTGCCTTTACCATAGTTAACACTGCAGCGGGATCTGAAAAGTGTTTCGCCTCCGTGTACAACTGGACTCCTGCGTGCCTGCAGGCTCACACTGCTTCTCCCTCTCCCTCCTAGGCACTGCTCAGGCCTCACGGCCGCAATCGCCCCATCTCGCCCATGCCAGTCTTGCTCCTCCCAGTCACTCTGCACTCACTCCCCGGCCACCTCACAGAGTTAAGTGGCATCTACATGCTGAGGGCTGTACATCTAAGTCCCTGGCCAGACCTGTCTCTCCAGACTTGACACTCCGCTTGTCTGCATGATACCCAGCCGAAACAAACATCATCTTCCCAAAACTGCATCTGCAGACAGTTTCCTATCTAACCTGCAACAACCCATCCTTCCAGGAACTTCCAGTCGCCATCCTCATTTCCTCACACACCCCACATTCAGTCCACCAGGAGATCCTACTGACCCAGCTTCCAAATAAACTCTATCCGGGTTTGACTCTTTGTCTCATCTCCACTGCCAGCCCTCTGGTTTGTGCCACCGGACTGATCTCTACCGGACTGATGTCTTGGCAGAGTGATCTGATTACCTGAATGTCTCTCCTCTGCTCAAAACCCTCCAAGGACTCCCATTTCAGAGTGAAACATTCAGTCTCTTCCAATGGCCCACAAGGCTCTAGGTAATTTTAAATTGTAAATGGTGTGAAGCAGAAACTTCAGAGTTAGCCTAGTCATGCCTTTCAAAGGTCAACACAGACTAGCAACCACTAAGCTAATGCCTAATCAGGAAACAGTCCTTTGACTAGATGAAGATCTAGGATGAAACTCCGTTTCACAAATCATATACCTAATCTGTTCCAGCTTACACAGGCACTCCTGGCCTCACTAACAAGACGCAACTCAGATGCTCACCATCAACTGTACACACGTTTCTGTGTCTGTCTCCTTCAGAGTGAGATCACCGCCTCCAGCAACCTGCTCAGCACCCCCAGGCAGGAGGGCCACACCATCTCCCTTTATCTCCGCATCTGACCTTATACTCCACATGTCCTTCTGAACTCTGACCAGGATGAGTTTTCAGAGCACTTCCCCTGGGAGCTCTGCTGTGTCCATAAGCCACACGGGCCACTGATCACCTGCCATTCAAATCAGGGAGCAGCGATCGGAATAGGCAGCATTGGCTTGCACTGAAATAAACACACTGTCTCAGATCACTACATTGTAAAAGTCTCAAAAGTAGAGACCATGTCTCAGTCACTTCGGTTTCCTAATTCTTGTTACAAAACAGGTATGGATCTTTTTCTGGTGATCTTCTGACTGTAGAAACAATGAGCTCACTGCATGAATAAATACACTCACATGCATCTACCCAGGAGTCCAAATGAAAGGCACAGAAGCAGGATAGGAAGCAGGGACCCAAAGAAAGTCAGGGATTCCTGCACTATGTGATAGTCTTGACAAGGGGCTGAGAGGAACTGAGGTTTTTCACCTGTGCTTCTTTCTGCATTTCTCCTTTAAGATCATCAAAATATGTGCTTTCTCCTTCATCATATTCTGCATCAAACATCTCCTTCAATTTTCTCTTCTTATCCAAATGCTTTTTCTTGGCACTTTCTTCTTCGTCGGGGTCAATTTCTTCCTTGTTTCTCTATATCTTCATTCTTAAATTTCCAGAAGAAAAAATTTTGTGTATGTTTATGAAGGTCTTTTCTTTAAACATTACATTTTTTAAAGTTCTATTTAAACAAAAATCTTAGCAAAAATCTGTTATCATTATCAATAAAACAAAACAAAACACAACATAACCTTTGTCTCTGAATAACATGGTACTGCTACAGGAAATTGTTACATCTGCATTACAATTAGCTGCTATTCCTTAAGCTGGCTGGGAACACAAACTAGAATAAAAATAACAGACATGTCCCTCACCCAGATGCTCCCAGACCCTGTTCTAAAGAAATATTAGGGAGAACAGGGACTTCATTCTTTTAAATGACACTTAAATTTAAAAAGAGGAGAATGATGGCAATGGTTGAATGTAAGTCTGAGAAGCTAAGACTTCTGTGAGTGAAAAATCACAGTGGTCTTGGCAAATGACTATGGCAAGAAACGGTAGTAACTGTCGTCCAAAACTTAATAAGTAAACAAGAAAGCTTCTCTTTGGTCCCCACATCCCCACCCTTTAGGAAGGAATCTATCCATCCAGTCTGCAATCTTCACACATCACAAGTAAGATTTGCATTTCTCAATGTGGGCCTCTCTCAGAACACAATGACCAAGAACAGCCAGCTACGACAAAGTCATACCTGAGTGTCGGGGCCCGATTTTCCCTTGTGCACGTCCTGTTTCCAAGTCTTCAAAGTCACCGTAGAGCTCCTCTGGGAAAAGAACACCCAAAGGCTGCTCTGTGAGCCAGGCATGCATGTGCTGCTGGCCCCACCCACGACAGGCCCACAGTGCGCTCCGCGTTCCAAGCCTCATTCTTACTGTTCCCGTCACTAGACACACAGGCAAAACTTTGCATTAGGGAATGCTTCGTAAAACAGTTAGTATTTCATCATCTGTTTAGGTAAACTAAATGGACCCAATCCACATTTCCGCACTTCATGTCAAAAATCCCAATCTCAATTTTTCCAGTATAGATAATGGACACTCTTTCTTTTTTTTTTTTTTTTTTTTTTTTTGAGATGGAGTCTCACTCTGTCACTCAAGCTGGAGTGCAGTGGCACGATCTCAGCTCACTGCAACCTCTGCCTCCCAGGTTCAAGCAATTCTACTGCCTCAGTCTCCCGAGTAGCTGGCATTATAGGCACCCACCACCAGGCCTGGCTAATTTTTGTATTTTTAGTAGAGATGGGATTTCACCATATTGGCCAGGCTGGTGTCGAACTCCTGACCTCGTGATCTGCCCTCCTCAGCCTCCCAAAGTGCTGGGATTACAGGCATGAGACACTGCAACCGGCCAATGGACACTTTTTATGAAAGGCACAGAGGTCTATCTGTGTCCCCCAAATGAATAATTCAAAGAGTGAATGGAAAAGTCCCATGCTGATAACCAGCACATGTGAAAAGGAGTCTCAATGTAAGTTCAACACAACACAATCGTGTAACACACCTAGGGGAAATTTTAGATCATATAAAACATAGCATTTAGATTAAGAGTAGAGCCCCAAACCACACCAAACCCATGGGAAGAGCTTATTCACTCATTCATTCCTTCATTTGTTTTTGGAGCTCTGGGTTCAATTATAGTTCCCACTCTTAAAAGAAATAGACAAGTAAGGCTGGGTGCAGTGGCTCACACCTGTAAACCCAGCACTTTGGGGGCCCGGGAGGCAGAGGTTGCAGTGAGCCATAATTGTGTCACTGAACTCCAGCCTGGGTGACAAAGTGAGACCCTGTCTCAAAAAAAGGAAAACAAAAGAAAGAGGCCAGTTAAAACTCATTTGGGAGAGCAATGTTTAGAAGGCTATTAAAACATTTTCACATAAGGGCCAAAGAACCAGGTAGACGTTATAAAAGATAGGAAGCTCCTATTTGTAATAAAAGCAAAAAAGGATAAAATAGGAATAAACCTAACAAGAAGTGCACCAGAACTTTATTTATTTAAAAAAGAAGAAAAGCTTTAATATGCTACCAAAGGACAAAAGGAATAGCATCACTACCAACACTCGTAAGTGCTCTCCACACCAGGCACTGTGTTAAGTACTTTCCTTGCCTTAACCACATTCTTCAACCCAAGGAAGTAGGTGTTGTAAATATTATATACTGAATAATGGTATGTCCTCATTTGAAAAGGAAGACTTGACATCACAAATACGCCAATTCTCCCTTTAGCACAGTTACAACCCGAAACCACCACTAAGGATTTCTGGTCTAAAGAAGATAACACATTATACCCTCCTAAGAAATGTAACCCAAACTCTAGAAATAATAGACAGGAGATGATCAATGGAGAATCCCGAAAGGTGGACAGAAAAAGGCTGCTGAGGGACTCTAGGACTAGGGAATGCATAGTGTCCAGGTGTCTCCCTGGATCTCATCCAGTAGGAAGGTGACCCAAGCCCAGAGTTTCCCAACTCCCAACGTAGCAATAGAAGGCAACCCAGGCAGACTCAGTCCCCGCAGATCAAAGGAGATCTTCCCCACAACAAGAAAACCAGCTCCACACACCAAGACAACCACCATTCCCCACCCACCTAGCTGCAGCAGGTGGCCCAGCCTGGGGCAGCTCCCCTGTTCCCTCAGGTGGGCAACAGCAGGGACTGGTGGGAGAATCCCAGTGATACATATTAGCCAAACAGACCAAAATAACACCATGAAGCCTCTGAAAATAAATTGCCATTGGAATCACAGCCCACAAAGTAGACCAAGACCTACAGACTAAACCTAAACAGGAGGACTGCCTGCAAAAATAAAAAAAAATTACATAGGCAGATGTTGGAACCACCTGACTCATCACTTATAACAGTCAGTATAAAAATGCTTCAACAAGCAACTACAAATCCTATGGCAACAATCAAAGAACTGAAAACGTCAGCAAAGAAACTGAAGAAGAATCAAATGGAAATTACACAAATATAAAATACAGTAACAGAAATATAAAAAAAATCTAACTGGATAGGCTCTATTGAGTAAAAGTGGAGATGACAGAGGAGAGAATCAGAGAAGCTGAAACCTGATCAACAGAATTCACCCAGTCTAAACAACAGAGAGAAAATAACCTGAAAACAAATGAACAGAGCTGCACGGACCTGTGGGACGATAACAAAAGACCCCGCATTTATGTTATCTGAGTCCCACAGGAGACCAGAGCTGCGAAAGCATGCAAATAACTAATTCCTGAGGCTTCCCACATTTGGTGAAAGATATAAACTTACAGATTCAAGAAGCTGAGCAAACCTCAAAGTATCCCAAAAGAAAGCAACACTGATTAAACTTTCAAAACTAAAAACAAAGAGCAAAAATGGCAGAATGCCTGTAGGGACGTGCCAACTCAAATGCCATGGAGGCCAGAAGGAAGTGGCACAACATTTTCAAGTGCTTAAAAAAAACCAACCAAACAAAAAAACCAACCAAACAAAAAAACCGTTGGCTGCAAATTCTATATCCCATGAAACTACCCTTCAGAAATGAAGAGAGAAATAAAGACATTCTCAGAGGAAGAAAATATAGGAATTTGTCACTGGTCAATTTAGAAATGCTAAAAAGTGGCTACAGAAATATGTTCTGTCATTTCCACAATACAAAAAATTAAAACAAACAAATCAAAATAAAAAAATGGCTACAGAAAGTTCTTATGCAGCAGGGATGAATATGGGACTATGGGAGGGGGGACAAAGGAAAGACCAGAAATGTGGATACATACACGAGACAATCCACAGTTCTTAAAATCACATTTGACCACTGAAACAAAAACTATACCACCACGTACTACTCAAGCCAGTGATTTATACAAGTGGAAAAGGTAAAGAGACATAAATGCAAGGCAGGTTTCCACACTTTGAAGTGGTAAATACTGGTGCCAGTAGACTACTATATTACAATACACATATTGTAACATCCAGAGCAAACACTTTAAGACTATACAAAGAGATACACGCAACAACATTATACAGAAATAGATCAAGATGGAGGGAAAGAAAACGGAAACAAAAAAGCAAATAATAAAAACATCAGACATAAGCAATTATGTAACAATAAGCACCTTAAATGTAAATGGTCTAAATAAACCAAAAGACAGATTGATGGAGAGCCTATAATAAACACATGGTCCAACTAAATACTGTTCATAAGAAACTTCAAACTCACTTAAGGACCTAAGTAGGTTGAAAGTAAAAGAATGGAGAAAGATATCCTGTGAAATCATTAATTTTTTAAGGAAGCAGGAGTGAATATATTAATATCTCATGAAGTAGACTTCAAGCAAAATAATTTACCAGAGCTGGAGAGGATCTTCACTGAATTTTAAGATCTAAAATTTCCTATGCTGCCTTGACATCTTTGAGCCTCACAGGGCCCCAAAGGCCTAGCCGTGGGTTTTCCTGTTTCTACCAGACACCCCCTACCCCGCCGCCCAACAGGAAAGGCTCCCCACCTGGCTAGTTCTTTTATCAGCCAGAACAGTTGCACCTCAGCCTAAGAAGTTTCACTTCACCTGTCTGCCAGCCCATGAATTTATTCAAACAAGCCAATTGCTCTCCCCCTCGGGAACCATTGGTCATTGTGTGCTCTTGTTACTACCAAGCCTGCCTGCTTCCTCAGCCCGCAGCCCTCACTCCGCTACAGAGTGCGGTGCCCATCTGACCCTGTGTGGCATGCAGTGTCCTCCTCTGAGCTGTGGGTATATGTGACTAAAACACTGCTGTCAATCTCATCCATCCACGCCAGGTGTCGTGTTCAGCCATCTCCTACACTTTAGGGCAGGGACCCCTTCTTCACCAATGGGGTGAAAAGGAAGTGACCATAACAACTGCTTAGTGACAAAAGGATTGACCCACCAAGAAGACATCTACTTCAACATCCTCCTCTTAGCAACTATTAAAACTAGGCAGAGGCCGGGCACAGCGGCTCATGCCTGTAATCCCAGAACTCTGGGAGGCAAAGACAAAGGATAGCTTGAGGCCAGGAGTTCGAGCCTGGGCAACATAGCAAGGCCTCATCTCTCCAAAAAATTTTAAATTTAGCCAGGTGTGCCGGCACACACCTATAGTACCAGCTACTCAGGAGGTTAAGCCAGGGGAAGTACTTGACCCTAGGAAGTCAAGGCTGCAGTGAGTCATGTTCGTGCCACCGCACTCCAGTGTAAGTGACAGAGTGAAACTAGGCAGAAAAGGAGCAAGGATTGACAAAAGATCTGAACAGTCAACCAGCAAAATGTGACATCCGTATAACACCCCACTCCCCAACAGCAAAACACACACATTTTTAAAGCCAATAGAAATCTACCAAGATGAAGTACACTTGGGGCAATAAAAGAAATCACAGCAAATCTTGCTGTGCGCCCCTCTGCCCTGGCGCCGGCGCCGTGCCCCTCTCTGCGCCTTCTTTTCTCACCATGGGGAAGCGTTTGGGGGCCTCTTGAGGGACCCCCTAGATGCTTCTACTCAGAGCCCCCAAAGCCGGGGAGCCTCCACTCCTCTGTCTGCAGCCTCCCCTGTCGGTTCTCGCTACCCAGGGTTCAGTGGCCTGGGGGCTGATGGAGGTGGTCGCCTCTGCCAAGGACCCTCCCGGCACCTCCCTGGCTCATCCAGCCCACCTTCCTCCCACGCTGGCTCACGCAAAGTGCTCTGGTCACCAGGAGCCCTTCCTGACCAGCCCCGGCCCCTTCTTGGCCTTCGCCCACCTGGCCTCCCCTGGAGCCCTGACCGGGGTGCCGGGCCTGCTGGGTCCAGAGCCCACCCCGCCCTGAACAACCCCGAGTCTCAGCCACCCTCAGCTCTTACCCTTTCACAGCTGGGGAGTGGAGCCTGGGCCTGCGCCTCTCCGCGCCTGCGCCGCCGCTGTGCGCCTCGCCGCCGCTGTGCGCCTCTCCGCCGCTGTGCGCCTCTCCGCCGCTGTCCGCCTCTCCGCCGCTGTCCGCCTCTCCGCCGCGCCGCCGCCGACCGCCTCGCCGCCGCCGCCCGCCTCGCCGCCGCCGCCCGCCTCTCCGCCGCGCCGCCGCCGCCCGCCTCTCCGCCGCGCCGCCGCCGCCCGCCTCTCCGCCGCGCCGCCGCCGCCCGCCTCTCCGCCGCGCCGCCGCCGCCCGCCTCTCCGCCGCGCCGCCGCCGCCCGCCTCTCCGCCGCGCCGCCGCCGCCCGCCTCTCCGCCGCGCCGCCGCCGACCGCCTCTCCGCCGCGCCGCCGCCGACCGCCTCTCCGCCGCTGTCCGCTTCTCCGCCACGCCGGCACCGGCGCTGTGTGCCTTTGCAAGGGCGGAGCTGCGTTCTCCTCGGCACAGACCCGGAGAGCATTGCGAGGGCGGAGCTGCGTTCTGCTCTGCATAGACCTTGGGGCACAGCCTCGCTTTGGGACAACTCGGGGCCGCATCGACGGTGAATAAAATCCTTCCTGTTTGCCATGTTTGTGGTTGGTGGCAGCGATGGACACTGCAGCCAGCCAGAGTGTAGAAAGGCATTGGGGTAAGTGCGCCATCCAGGCTGCACTGCTGGTGGCCTGGGACGGGTTGGGAGCCCTATCTCAGGCGTCACTGCCCGTCTTGGGTGGTTGGTTGGGTGTGCTATCTGGGGCTGTGCTGCCTGCACCGGGGGCGGGGGGCGGTTTGGGGGCTCAAACCGGGGCTGCACTGCCTTTGGCGGGGAGCCGGTTGGGGGCACTATCCCAGACTGTATTGCTGGCAACAGTGAGGTGGGTTAAGTGTGCTATCTGGGGCTGCACTGTGCGGCTGTGGGGGGGGGTGGCGGTTTTGGGTTGAGGGCGCTATGGGCTGCTGTAATGCCCATGGTGCGGGGAGGCGGGGCGGTTAGGGTATGTTGGGTGTGCTATTTGCGGGGGGCGACACTGCTGGTGGTAGGGGGCAGGGTGGGTTGGGGGCCATATCAGGGGCTGCACTGATTGCTTTAGCTAGGATTTCTGGTACTATGTTAAACAACAGTGGTGACAGGGGGCATCCTTATCATGTTCCAGATCTTAGAGGAAAAGCTTTCCATTTTTCCCCATTCCATATGATTCTAGCTGTGGGTGTCTTTCCTGTAGTTTTTATTATGTTGCGGTATGTTTCTTCTGTGCCTGTTTCTTTGAGGATTTATAGCATGAAGGGATGTTGAATTTCATCACATGCTTTTTTGGTTTCAGTTGACATGATCATACGGTTTTTGTCGTTTATTTGGTTGATATGATGTATCACATTGTATGTTGAGTGACTCTTGCATTCCAGGGATACATCCCAGTTGATCATGATGAATTATCTTTTTAATGTATTACTGAATTTGATTCACTGGTATTCTGTTGAGGATTTTTGCATCAATATTAGAGATCCTGTCCTGTAGTTTTCTTCTTTGATGCTTTTATCTGATTTTCGTATCACAGTAATAATGGTCTCATAGAATAAGTTTGGAAGTATTCCCTCCTGTTTTTCAAAATAATTTGAGCAGGATTTGTACTAGGTCTTTAAATTGTTTGGTGTGAAGCCATCAGCAGTGAAGACATCATCAGTTCCTGGGCTTTTCTTTACTGGGAGACTTTTTCTGATGGCTTCAATCTCATTACTTGTTACCAATCTGTTCTGGTCTTGGATGTTTTCATTGTTTAACCTAAGTAGGTTGTATGCATCTAGGAATTTGCCAATTTCTACTAGGCTTTCCAATTTATTGGCATATAATAGCCAGTTATGATCCTTTGAATTTCTGAAGTATTAGTTGTAATGTCTCCTTTTTTTAATCTGTTGATTTTATTTATTTGAATCTTGTCTCTTTTCTTAGGCTGGTTGAAAGTTTGTCAATTTTGTTTAGCTTTCCAGAAAACCAACTTTTCGTTTAATCTTGTGTGTTTTTTATTTCAATTTTGTTTCTGCTACGATCTTATTTATTTTCTTATTTTCGGTTTAGTTTGTTCTTACTTTACTAGTTCTTTAAGATGTATTGTTTATTTGAAGTTTTTCTTTTGTTTGGATGGTAGGCACTTATAGCTGTAAATCTCTGCCTTTGTACTGCTTTCTGCGTAACAAGTTTTGGTATACTGTGTTTTCATTACCCTTTGTTTCATGAAATTTTTGAATTTCTGTCTTAGTATCTTCATTGACCTTTATTTATTCAGGTCATTTATTCAGGAGGGTAGTGTTTAACTTCCATGTGATTGTATTGTTTCCAAAATTACTTTTCTTATTGATACCTAGTTTTATTTCTTTGTAGTGAAAGAAGATTGCCACGGAGACAGACAGCAGCATGGTCAGTGTGGTAGGAGCCGGCCATCAGCAAGAGCTGCTCCATGCCTGGCTGCTGGGAGCTAGAGCCTGCAGCCCACTGGCTTGCCTCACTGTAGTTGGTGGTGGCAGTGACAGAGACTGCAGCATGACCAGAGTGGTAGGACAGGGGCTATCCAGGGCTGCACCTTTCGCAGTGTGGGGTGGGTTGGGGGCGCTATCCAGGGTGTCATTGCCTGCATTAGGGGTACTGGTTGGTAGCACTGCACAGGGCTGCACTGCCCACAGCAGGGAGGGTGGGTTATGGGTGCTTTCTGGGGCTGCAATGCCCATGGAGGAGGACAGGTTAGGGCATATCGGGTATATGCTACTGGCGGCATTGGGGGACGGAGGTGGGGGGCGCTATTGAGGGCAGGACTAGCCGTGGAGCGGGGGCGAGTTCGGTGCTATCAGGGGCTGCACTGCTGGCGGCAGTCAACAGAGTTGGCATCCAAGGAAGGAGTGGTTCTCCTCTCCCTGACTCCACACTCCAGAGGGCGAACCACTCTTGGTCATACTGGAGTGCGGCAGGGTACGCAGCGTTTGCATGGGAATCCTGAGCATGGCAGAGCCCCCACACCCACCGTGGTTCCTGGGCCTGTGCACTCTGGGTCTGTGCCTCAGAGGCTGCCAGGCACCCCTGGGGACACCACGGGGAACAGGGCCCTGTGTGTGGAGGCATCCGGAACAGGAATTGGCACCTGGGTGCGGAGGGCTGGCTGGGTCTGAATTTTTCTGCTTCTCCTGTTCCCCGAGGAGTGCAGCCCCGGTGGGCCCAGTGGTTCCTGTGGAGTGGGGAGCTGGGTGCTGTGGTGTCTCCAGCACCCACCCCAGACCCCAGTTCCCGGCCAGCTTGGGCCAAAAGGAGAGGCTGGACTTTGGAGGGTGGGTGTGAGTGCCTTTGCTGAAACTGGCCCCTGCCACCCAGTGGCCGGCACGACAACTTGAGGCTCTAACGCTTCCACTCCTCACAACTTCCTCTAGGCTTTTCTGGCTTTGCCCGCCCAGCTGCTCCATGCCAGGAGGAGGAGGAGACACCTAGAGCCTGCAACACCACGGCTCACCTCGCTGCGGGTGGGTGGCAGTGACGGAGACTGCAGTGCGCCAGAGCGGTAGGAGAGTGGCCACGCTAGGAGGGCGGGCGGCTGCAGGCAGGGTTGGGAGTCAGGCTTACAGTGATGGACGGGCTGCAGCAGTGGCCAGGTAGTAGGAGCCTTGTAGGGAGGGCTGGTGCATTGGCAATGGGCCTGGCTTTGCCCTGTGCCTGCCGTGGATCTGGCCCTGTACTGCCCTGCCTTGCCCTGTACCTGCCCTACTGTTACCTGGACTCTCAGCCCTGTCCTGCTCTGGTCCCATCCTGACCCTGTCTTGGCCCCGTGCTACCCTGTCCCTGCCCTGGTCTTGCCCTGGCACTGGCCCTGCCCTGAACCTGCACTGGCCTGACCTTGGCTCTGGCCCTGGCTCTGGCCCTGCCCCTTGTCCTGACCCTGGTCCTGTCATGGCACTGGCCCTGCCAGTGGTCATGGTCCTGCTCCTGTTCTGGCCCTGACCTGGCCTTGGAAATGTCCTGGCTCTGCTTTGGCCCATCCCTGCCCTGGCCCCACCATGGGCCTTCCTGTTCTGCCCTCTCCTGGCACTGACCTGGCCCTGTCATGGCCCAGTGGTGCCATTGCCCTGCCTTACCCTGCGCTGGTTGTGCCTTGGCCCCGCTTGGTGCTGGCCGCTTCCTGGACCTGCCCTGGACCTGCCCTGACCCTGCCTTGGCTTTTGCCCTGCCCTCACTATGGCCTGGCCCTGGCCCTAGCCCTGGTCCTGCCATATCCCTGACCCTGCCCTTATCCAGGCCCTGCCCCTGCTGCTGCCCTGGCCCTGGCCTGGAACCTGGTCCTGTCAAGGACCTGCCCTGACTCTGCCATGGCCCTGGCCCTGCTCTGCCTTGTTCCTGGCCCTGACCCAGACCCAGACCCTTTCCTGGCTCTGCACTGGCCTTTCCCTGGCCCTGAGCTGGCAGTGGTCTGCCCCTGGTCTTGCCATCACCCTGCCCTGCTGTGCTCTGGATGTGTCATCACCCTGCCCTGGCTCTACTCTGCCTTTGACCCTGCCCTGGCCTTGCCTTGGCCCTCACCCTAGTCTTCGCTAGGCCCAGCACAGACCTGGCTCTGACCCTGGCCCTGGTCTTTGTCCTGCCATAGCTTTGGCCCTGAAGTGGACTTGGAGGTGTCCTGGCCCCGGTGTAACATGGCTCTGCATTGGCCTGTCTCTGCCCTGCCCCTACCATCGCCTTGCCCTGCTCTGCCCTGTCCCAGTACTGACCCGGCCACGCTATTTCCCCGCCCTACCCTGCCTTGGCTGTGCCCTGGCTCGGTTCTGGCCCTGGCCCCGGCCCTGCCCTGGACATGCTCTGACACTGCCTCAGCCTTGGCACTAGCCTGGCTCATTCTTGGCATCAGCCCTGCTCTCTCTGTGGACCGGCTCTTGTCCTGTCCTGCACTGGCCATACCATGCCCTGCCCTGCCCTGACTCAGCCCTGACTCAGCCTTGGCCTTGGCATTGCCCCTGGTCCTGCCATATTTCTTGCCCTGTCCCTACCCTAGCCTTGGCCCTGACCCTTACCTTGCTCTGGCCCTGCCCTTGCCCTAATGCAGCCCCTGGCCCTGTCATGACCCTGCCCTGGACCTGTCCTGGCCCTGGCCCTTCCCTGCTTGAGACCTTGCCCTGGTTCTCCCATGGCCCTGACCCTGAAATGCCTGGCCCTACCCTGGCCTTGCCCTGCTCTGGCCCTTGCCCTGACTCTGGTCCTGTCACTGACCTAGCCCCAGCCCTGTTGCTGGTCTTACCATGGCCCAGACCCTGCCTTGGCCCTGCCCTGACACTGTCCTGGACCCTGGCTGTGCCAAGAACCTGCACTGTCCTTGCCCTTGTTTTGCTCCTGCCCCGAACCTGGTCCTGCCCAGGCCGTTTCTATGGCCCTGGCCCTGGCCCTGCCCAGGTCTTGGCACTGGCCTGGCCCTGCCCTGCCCTGGCCCTATGCTTTCCTGGCCCTGCCTTGGCCCTAGCCTGGCTTTGACCCTGCCCTGGCCCTACCTTGGCCTTCACCCTAGCCTTACCAGAGCACTGTGTTGGACCTGGCCATAGCACAGACCTGGTTGTGGCCCTGGCCCAGACCCTAGCCCTGCAGGTACCGGTCCTGGCCCAGCTCTGGGCCTGGCTTTGTCCCTAATTCTTAGATGACCCTGCCCCTGCCCCTGCCCTTGCCCTTGCCCTGGCACTGGCCTTGGACATGTCCGTGGTCCTAACCCTGGCCCTGCCCTGGAGCTGCCACTGTCTTGGCCCTGCCCTGGCTCTGGCCCTGCCCCGGCCCTGGCCCTGCCCCGGCCCCAGCCATAGACCTGCCCTGGTTGGTCGTGCCCTACCTTAACCCTGTGCTACCCTGGGCCTGCTCCACCCTGCCCTGGCCCTGCCCTCCCTTTGGCCCTGCCCTGACCCCGTCTTGGCCCTCACACTGGCCCTAGCACAGACCTGGTCCTATCTGTGGCCTTGGCCTGGCATTGACCCCTGCTCCTGACCCTGATCCTGCCATGGCCCTGGCCCTGCCAATGACCCTGGCAGCCCTTACCCTGGCCCTGAACTGGCCCTGCCCTGACCCTGGCCCTGAAGTGGATTTGCAGGTGTCTTGTCCATGGTTTAACCTGGTCTTACCATGGCCCTGTCCCTCCCCTGGCTCTGTCCTGGTCTTATGCTGACCCTGACCCAGACCTTGGCCCTGCCACAGCCTTGTCCTAGACCTGGCCATGGCCCTGCGTCTGCCCTGGACCGGCGCTGGCACTGGCATGGACCCTGGCCCTGGCCCTTCACTACTTAAGGCCATACCCTGGCCCAGCCCTGGCCCTAATTTGGCCTGGCTCTACCCTGGCATGCTATTCTGGCCCTAGCCCTGACCCTGTCCCTGTCCCTGTCCTGGTCCTAGCCCCGTTGCTGGTCCTGCCATGGCCCTTGTCCTGACATTGCCCTTTCCTGGTTCTGGCCCTGGCCCTGTCCCAGCCCTGCTCTGGCCCTGGTCTGAACCCTGGCCCTGCAATAGACCTGCCTTGGTCCTGCCCAGACCCTGGCTCTGGCCCTACCTCTGCCCTGGCCATACCCTTGCCCTGGCCTGGACCCCGGTCCTGGTCCTTGTCCTGCCCCAGCCGTGGCCCTGGCCCTGCCCTGCCTGTGCCCTGTTCTATCCTGGGCTGGCCCTGCCATGGCCTGGTCTTGCCATTGCCCTGCCCTAGCTTGCCCTGCTTGTGCCCTAGATCTGCCCCGCTTGTGCCCTAGATCTGCCCCGGCCTTTGCCCCATCTTGGTTCTAGCCTTGACTCAGCCCTGGACCTTCCCTGACCTTGCCTCAGCCCTGGCACTACCCTGGCATTGCCTTGGCATTTGCCCTACTCTCTCTATGGCCTGGCTGTGGTCCTGCCCTGCTCTGCTCTTGTTCTGTCCTGGCACAGCCCTGGCCCTGGCCCTGGCCCTGCCATATCACTGGCTCTGGTCCTGCCCTTATGCAGACCTGACCCTGCCACTGCCTTGGCTTTGGCCTGGACCTTGGCCATACAGTGACCCTGCCATGACATTTTCCTGGTCCTGGCCTGGAACCTGGCCCTGCCAAGGACTCGCCCTGGCTCTGTCATGGCCCTGGCCCGTTCCTGGATTTGGATGTGTCCTGTCCCTTATTTGCCCCGGCCCTTCCCTGGCTCTGCCATACCCCTTCTCTGGGGTAGGGCCAGGGTCAGGACCAGACCAGGGCAGGGTCAGGACCAGGGTAGGGCCATGTTAAGGCCTGAAGATGGGAAGGGCCAGGGCAGCGGCTGGACCAGGGAAGGGTCAGGGCCAGGGATGTAGTAGGACTAGGGGCAGAGCCGGCACTAGGGCTGAGCCAGGGCAGAGCAGGAGAGATTACTTTAGGCTATTACTAAAATTTTTATTTTAGATTTTTAAGATAACTATAGTAGTAGTAATGTCTATACTATGTTGTTTGTAATAGTAATAATACTTGCAGTAATCACTAAATTTTAACTAATACTATCTTTGCTTCCAGTAGTGTTCTATGAGTATAATTTTATCAACATGTAAATATGTGAGGCATTGATTCTCATAATAATTCTATATGCTAGGTACTTAAAGCATCCCCATTTTCCAAATGTAGGAAACAGGCAAAAAGAAGGTAAATACTTGGCCAGATTACTCCTGTAATCCCAGCACTTTGGGAGGCCAAGGCAGGCAGATGGCTTGAGCTCAGGAGTTTGGAACCAGCCTGGGCAACATTGTGAAACCCCATCTCTACTAAAAATGCACAAAAAGAACTAATTTAAGTTTCTTGTAGGATTCTGGTTATAAAACACTGGTCAAACACACAGGGCATGGATAGGGCAGGGCCAGGGACAAGGTCAGGCCAGGAAGGGGCCAGGGCCAAGGCAGGGCCAGAGCTGGACTTGGAGGTGTCCTGGTCTGATTTGCCCTGCCCCAACGTTGGCCCAGCCCTGCTCTGGCACGTCCTGTCATGCCCTGTCCCTGGCCTGAGCATTGGCCCTGGCCCTGTCCTGCTTCTGGCCCTGCCCCGGAGTTGACCAGGCACTGCCATGGCCCAGTCCTGCATTGCCCTGCCCTCCTCTGCCCTGGTGCTACCATGGCCCTGCTTGGGCCCTAGCTCTGCCTCGACTCTGGACCTGCCCTGACTCTGCTCAGCCCTGGATCTACCCTGACTCTGCCTTGGTGTTGCCCTCCCATCTCTATGGCCTGGCTCTGGCCATGCCTTGCACAGACCATGCTCTGCCCTGCGTGCCCCAGCCTGGGCCCAGCCCTCATCCTACCATATTCCTGACCCCAGCCATACCCTTGTTCTCGCCATGACCCTGCCGTGGCCCTCTCCTGGCCCTTCCTTGATCCTGCCCTGCCCTTCCATGCCCTGGCCTTGCCCTCACCCTGCATTGGCCCTGCACTGGTCCTGCCCTGCCCTGGCACTGCCTTGGCCCCGGCCCTGCCTTCTTCCTGGCCTTGCCTTTGCCCTGCCCTGGCCTGACCCCAGGCCTACTGAGTCCATGAAATGGCCCTGGACCTGCCTTGCCATCCTCTGTCCTGGCCCTATATTGTCCCCACCATGCTCTGGTCCAGCGCTTGCCCTAGCCCTGTTGCTAGTCCTGCCACTGCTATGGCCCTGCTCTGTTTTTGGCCGTGCCCTGTGCTACCCTAGCCCTGCCCTGCCTTGGCCTTGGCCCTACCATGGCCTTCTCCTACCCTGGCCTTTTCTACCCTGGCCTTGCCCTTCCCTGGTCTTGCCCTGCCCTGGCCTTGCCCTGCCCTGGCCTTGGCTTTGCCTTATCCTGGTCCTGGTTCTGCCCTGACCCTGGCCTTGCTCTGGATCCTCTCTGGTTCTGCTTTCTCCCTGGCCCTGCCCTTGCTCTGGCCCTGTCCCTGGACCAGCCTTGACCCTGACCCTGACAATCCCCAGGTCTGACACTGGCCATGCTTGGCCCTGGCCCCTCCTTTTGGCCCTGCCTTAGCCCTGTGCTATCTTAGTCCTGCCCTGGCCCTGAACTCACCCTGGTCCTACCCTCACCCTACACTGGCCCTGCCCTATCCTGGCCTTGCCCTGCCCTGGCCCTGCCTTTGGCCTGCTCTGGCTCTGGTTCTGCCCTGGACTTGCCCTTGCCCTGGACCCTCCCTGGCCATGTTTTTCCCATGGTCCTTCTCTGGCCTTGCCCTTGCCCTGTCCCCTTTCTGGTCCTGCCATGTTTCTGGCCCTGCCCTGTCCATGTCCTGGACCTGACTCTGGCCCTGGACCTCCCTGTCCCTGCCCTGCCATACCCTGGCCCGTTCCTTGCTCTACACTGACCCTGCCCTGCCTTGGCCCTGTGCCACCCTAGCCCTGCCCTGGCCTTCTGCTGACCCTGATCCTGCCATGGCCCTGGCCCTGCCATGTCCCTGCCCTGGCCCTGGTTCTTCCCTGCTTCTGGACCTGGCCTTGGTCCTCTCATGTCCCTGGCTGTGACCCTGCCCCTGGTTTTTCTCTGGCCATGACCCTGCCCCAGTTCTGTCCTATCCCTGGCCCTGTCTCAGTTCTGTCCTAGCCCTGGCCTTTCACAGTACTTTATGCTTAGTAAGGGCTCCATGGTGTCTGTGAGTTGAATGTTGTGTTCATAGTATCTGCCAAAACAGAAAGAAAAAAGTAAAATATTTTGATAAGAAGTTAAAGCTTTGTATATAATATGCCTTGAATTGTAAGTGCCTGTTATTAGTTGTATTACATATGGGTCATGGCTTTGTACACGTAACTCCAAACCATTGATACTGTTAAAAGGATATATGAATATATGAAAGAATGTATAAACGTAAGAATGTATCAGTATCTAATGACCTTTCCAAATTAATTTTTATTTTTAGCTCTATTAGATTTTTCTCAGTGTAACAAATGTTTATTCCTATGTAATTAAGGGTGTGTTTCCTGTACAGAATATTCATAATACCTAATTGAAAATTATATGATACAAAAATATAATACTATTTTTAGGCCAAGCATGGTGGCTCATACCTGTAATCCCAACATTTTGAGAGGCCAAGTTTGGAGAATCATTTGAGTCCAGGAGTTGACCAGCCTGGGCAACATAGTGAGACCTTGTCTTTATTAAATAAATAAATAAATAAATAAATAGGTTGGGCACTGTGGCTCATATCTGTCCTCCCAGCATTTTGGGTTGCCAATGCAGGAGGATTGCTTGAGCCCAGGAGTTTGAGACCAGCCTGGGCAGAATAGCAAGACTCCATCTCTGCAAATAATAAAATATTAACCAGGTGTGGTGGTGCGCACCTGGGGTCCCAGCTACCTGGGAGGCTAAGGTGGGAGGTTTGCTTGAGGCTTCAGTGAACTGTGAATGCACCACTGCATTCCAGCCTAGGCCACAGAACAGGACCTTGTTTATAAATAAAGAAATAAGTAAAAATATAAATAAAAAGTAAAAATAACTATAAGTAAATATAAATATAAAAATGCATACATGAAAAGAAACAATTTTTAAATTTAACATCAGTGAGGGCATCCTATCCATTTCATTTCATGATTCCATTACATCATTTCACTTAGATGAAATGATGACTTGAGATGAAATAATGAGATGAAATGACGAAATGATGAGATGAGATGATGAGATGAAATTTTGAGATGAAATGGTGAGTAGAAATGATGAGATGAAATGATGAGATGAAATGACAAAATTGAAAAGAAATTGAAAGGAGAGGAGATGAGATAAAATGAGATGAAATGAGATGATGGATGAAATGAGATGAAACGAGATGAAATGAAATAATGAAATGATATGAAATAATGAAATTGTAATGAGATGATATGAGATGAAATAATGAGATAAAATGATGAGATGAGATGAACGATGAGATGAAATGATGAAATGAAATGAGATGAAAAATGATGAGATGAAAAATGAGATGAAATGAAATAATGAAATGAGATGAAATGAAATGAAATAATGAAAGGAAATTATGAAATGTAATGATGAAATTGAAATGAGATGAGTTGAAATGATGAGATGTAATGGTGAAATGAAATGATGAAATGAGATGAGATGAAATGAGATGAAATAATGAGATGAAATGAGATAATGAGATGAGATGAAATCATGAGATGAAATGATGAAATGAAATGAAATGATGGATGAAATTATGAGATGAAAGATGAAATGTAATGAGATGAAATGAAATGACATAATGAAATGAAATAATGAAATGAGATGAAATAAAATAATGAAATGATGAAATAATGAAATGAAAATGAAATGGAAATGATGAGATGAGAAGAAATGATGAGATGAAATGATGAAATGATGAGATGAGATAAAATGAGATGAAATGATGAGATGAGATGAAATATGATGAGATGAAATGACATAATGAATGAAATGATGAAATGGAATAATGAAATGGAAATGATGAGCTGAGATGCAATGAGTTGAAATGAGATGAAATGATGAAATGATGAGATGAAATGATGAGATGTGATGAAATGATGACATGAAATGATGACATAAAATGAGATGAAATGAGATGTAATGATGGAATGGGATGAGATGAAATGAGATGAAATGATAGATGAGATAAAATGATGATATGAAATGATGAGATGAATGATGAGATGATGAGATGAATGATGAAATGAAATGATGAGATGAGATGATGAAATGAAATGGTGAGATGAAATGATGAGATGAAATGAAATAGTGAAATGAAATTGAAATAAAATCGAAATGAGATGAGATGAAATGATATGATGAAATAAAATGATGAAATGATGAGATGTGATGAGATGAAATGATGAGATGAAATGATGAGATGAGATGAGATGACATGAAATAATGAAATGAAATTGAAATGAGATAAGATACGAGATGAGATGAAATGATGAGATGAAATGATGAAATGATGAGATAAGATGAAAAGGGTTGAGATGATGAGATGAAATGAGATGAAAAGATGAAATGATGAGATGAAATGAAATGATGAGATGAAATGAGGTGAAATGAAATTAGATGAAATGTAATGAGATGAAATGAAATGAAATAATGAAATGAGATGAAATAAAATAATGAAATGATGAAATAATGAAATGAAAATGAAATGGAAATGATGAGATGAGAAGAAATGATGAGATGAAATGATGAAATGATGAGATGAGATAAAATGAGATGAAATGATGAGATGAGATGAAATATGATGAGATGAAATGACATAATGAATGAAATGATGAAATGGAATAATGAAATGGAAATGAGCTGAGATGCAATGAGTTGAAATGAGATGAAATGATGAAATGATGAGATGAAATGATGAGATGAGATGTGATGAAATGATGACATGAAATGACATAAAATGAGATGAAATGAGATGTAATGATGGAATGGGATGAGATGAAATGAGATGAAATGATAGATGAGATAAAATGATGATATGAAATGATGAGATGAATGATGAGATGATGAGATGAATGATGAAATGAAATGATGAGATGATGAAATGAAATGGTGAGATGAAATGATGAGATGAAATGAAATAGTGAAATGAAATTGAAATAAAATCGAAATGAGATGAGATGAAATGATGAGATGATGAAATAAAATGATGAAATGATGAGATGTGATGAGATGAAATGATGACATGAAATGATGAGATGAGATGAGATGACATGAAATAATGAAATGAAATTGAAATGAGATAAGATACGAGATGAGATGAAATGATGAGATGAAATGATGAAATGATGAGATAAGATGAAAAGGGTTGAGATGATGAGATGAAATGAGATGAAAAGATGAAATGATGAGATGAAATGAAATGATGAGATGAAATGAGGTGAAATGAAATTAGATGAAATGTAATGAGATGAAATGAAATGACATAATGAAATGAAATAATGAAATGAGATGAAATAAAATAATGAAATGATGAAATAATGAAATGAAAATGAAATGGAAATGATGAGATGAGAAGAAATGATGAGATGAAATGATGAAATGATGAGATGAGATAAAATGAGATGAAATGATGAGATGAGATGAAATATGAGATGAAATGACATAATGAATGAAATGATGAAATGGAATAATGAAATGGAAATGAGCTGAGATGCAATGAGTTGAAATGAGATGAAATGATGAAATGATGAGATGAAATGATGAGATGTGATGAAATGATGACATGAAATGATGACATAAAATGAGATGAAATGAGATGTAATGATGGAATGGGATGAGATGAAATGAGATGAAATGATAGATGAGATAAAATGATGATATGAAATGATGAGATGAATGATGAGATGATGAGATGAATGATGAAATGAAATGATGAGATGAGATGATGAAATGAAATGGTGAGATGAAATGATGAGATGAAATGAAATAGTGAAATGAAATTGAAATAAAATCGAAATGAGATGAGATGAAATGATGAGATGATGAAATAAAATGATGAAATGATGAGATGTGATGAGATGAAATGATGACATGAAATGATGAGATGAGATGAGATGACATGAAATAATGAAATGAAATTGAAATGAGATAAGATACGAGATGAGATGAAATGATGAGATGAAATGATGAAATGATGAGATAAGATAAGGGTTGAGATGATGAGATGAAATGAGATGAAAAGATGAAATGATGAGATGAAATGATGAGATGAAATGAGGTGAAATGAAATTAGATGAAATGTAATGAGATGAAATGAAATGACATAATGAAATGAAATAATGAAATGAGATGAAATAAAATAATGAAATGATGAAATAATGAAATGAAAATGAAATGGAAATGATGAGATGAGAAGAAATGATGAGATGAAATGATGAAATGATGAGATGAGATAAAATGAGATGAAATGATGAGATGAGATGAAATATGATGAGATGAAATGACATAATGAATGAAATGATGAAATGGAATAATGAAATGGAAATGATGAGCTGAGATGCAATGAGTTGAAATGAGATGAAATGATGAAATGATGAGATGAAATGATGAGATGTGATGAAATGATGACATGAAATGATGACATAAAATGAGATGAAATGAGATGTAATGATGGAATGGGATGAGATGAAATGAGATGAAATGATAGATGAGATAAAATGATGATATGAAATGATGAGATGAATGATGAGATGATGAGATGAATGATGAAATGAAATGATGAGATGAGATGATGAAATGAAATGGTGAGATGAAATGATGAGATGAAATGAAATAGTGAAATGAAATTGAAATAAAATCGAAATGAGATGAGATGAAATGATGAGATGAAATAAAATGATGAAATGATGAGATGTGATGAGATGAAATGATGACATGAAATGATGAGATGAGATGAGATGACATGAAATAATGAAATGAAATTGAAATGAGATAAGATACGAGATGAGATGAAATGATGAGATGAAATGATGAAATGATGAGATAAGATGAAAAGGGTTGAGATGATGAGATGAAATGAGATGAAAAGATGAAATGATGAGATGAAATGAAATGATGAGATGAAATGAGGTGAAATGAAATTAGATGAAATGTAATGAGATGAAATGAAATGACATAATGAAATGAAATAATGAAATGAGATGAAATAAAATAATGAAATGATGAAATAATGAAATGAAAATGAAATGGAAATGATGAGATGAGAAGAAATGATGAGATGAAATGATGAAATGATGAGATGAGATAAAATGAGATGAAATGATGAGATGAGATGAAATATGATGAGATGAAATGACATAATGAATGAAATGATGAAATGGAATAATGAAATGGAAATGATGAGCTGAGATGCAATGAGTTGAAATGAGATGAAATGATGAAATGATGAGATGAGATGTGATGAAATGATGACATGAAATGATGACATAAAATGAGATGAAATGAGATGTAATGATGGAATGGGATGAGATGAAATGAGATGAAATGATAGATGAGATAAAATGATGATATGAAATGATGAGATGAATGATGAAATGAAATGATGAGATGAGATGATGAAATGAAATGGTGAGATGAAATGATGAGATGAAATGAAATAGTGAAATGAAATTGAAATAAAATCGAAATGAGATGAGATGAAATGATGAGATGATGAAATAAAATGATGAAATGAGATGTGATGAGATGAAATGATGACATGAAATGATGAGATGAGATGAGATGAGATGACATGAAATAATGAAATGAAATTGAAATGAGATAAGATACGAGATGAGATGAAATGATGAGATGAAATGAAATGATGAGATAAGATGAAAAGAGTTGATGAGATGATGAGATGAAATGAGATGAAAAGATGAAATGATGAGATGAAATGAGGTGAAATGAAATTAGATGAAATGTAATGAGATGAAATGAAATGACAATGAAATGAAAAAATGAAATGAAATAATGAAATGAGGTGAAATTAAATGAGATGATGAAATTAAATGATGAAATGAAATAATGAAATGGAAATGATGAGATGAAATGAGATGAATGATGAGATATAATGATGAGATGCAATGATGAGATGAAATGATGAGATGAGATGAGATGTAATGATGAGAGGAAATGATGAGATGTAATGAAATGAGATGAAATGAATGAGATGAAATGAAATAATGAAAGGAAATTGAATTGAGATATGAGATGAAATGAGATAAAATGAGATGAAATAAATGATGAGATGAAATGATGAAATGCTGAGGTGAGATGAAACGATGAGATGAAATGAAAGGATGAGATGAAATGATGAGATGAGGTGAGATGAGATGAAATGAGATGAAACGAGATGAAATGATGAAATGAGATGAGATGAGAAGAAATGATTTGATGAAATGAGATGAGATAAAGTGATGAGATGAAATGAAATGAAGTGAAATGAAATAATGAAATGAAATTGAAATGAGATGAGATGAAATGAGATAAAATGAGATGAAATGAGAAGAAATGAGATGAAATGATGAAATGAGATGATGAGATGAAAAATGATGAGATGAATTGAAATGAAATGAAATAATGAAATGAAATGATGAATTGATGATATTGAAATGAAATTGAAAGATGAGATGAAATGAGATGAAATGAAATGTTGAAATGATGAAGAGATGTGACATGAAATGAGCTGAAATGAGATGAAATGAAATGAGATTAAATGATGAGATGAAAAATGATGAGATGAAAAATGATGAGATGAAATGATGAGATGAGATGAGATGAATTGAGATGAGATGAGATGAAATAATGAAATTAGGTGAAATAATGAAATGAGATGAAATAATGAAATAAAATTGAAATGAGATGAGAAGAAATGAGATGAAATGTTGAAAAGAAAGGAGGAAATGATGAGGTGAGATGAAATGATGAGATGAAATGAATTGAGATGAAATGAGATGAAAAATGATATGAAAAATGATATAAAAAATATGACATGAAATGAAATGAGATGATATAAAATGACAGAATGAAATAAATGAAATTACATGAAATGAAATGAAATAGTGAAATGAAATGATGAAATAATGAAAATGAAATGGAAATGAGATGAGATGAGATTTGATGAAACGATGAGATGAAATGATGAGATGATATGAAATGATGAGATGAGATGGGATAAGATGAAATGAGATGAAATGATGAGGTGAAGTGATGCACTATCACGTGTGTGTCTTTTTCCCAACCAACAAAAATTATAATTCATTAATTTTAATTTTATTATTTAAGAATATTCTTAAGAGTTGAAGGAAAAATAATATCTGTACATTATGGGTTACAATTAAGTACAAATAATACATAAATATATTAAAACTTACAAAGAATATGTTTCGGAATCGAATATACCATGCTTCTGTGATGACAGTTATTTCATGCTGGTTGTCACAATTTTACATGAAAAACTAATGAAACAATGTTTTTAACTGTTTCTAAAAATAACAGTTTCCAAAACAGTTTTACATTCAAAATATGAAAAAGATGTCTTTGTGTTCCTTAATCTGATGAGATTTTCACACTCTGCACATGATAATTGTTAGATTTTTATTGTGTTGATAAATTGTATATCAAATAAAAAATGTTATTACCTCTTAAATTAGGATTTTTAGGTGATATAGGCAGAAAGGAAGGCAAGTTTTTATAACTTTGTCTAAATGAACTTTCTAAATGCCTGAGTATTAAAAGATAGCATGTCTATAAATGACAATGTATATATTACTGTATGACCTAGGACCAATCAAAACCGTTACCTCTGATAACATTATATTGTGCCCAGTATAAAATAGATATAATAATACCTCAAACTTAAATCCAGGCATTGTCATTGAATATGTTAAGAATATGCAGCAAAGGTGCTTTTAAAAATACAAGCTAGTGATTGTACTAAATTTGTAAATCACATAGGATAGTGGGTCATTTTAAGAATATTATTTCAATCTATAAACGTGGATGTCTTTGCTTTTTTATGTTTTCTTTAATTTCTTTCATTAATATTTGTCATTTTTGCTGTCGAAATCTTTTACTTGGTTAAATTTATTTCTAAGTACATTTTTGTAGCTATTGTAAAAGGAATTGCTTTCTTAATTTCTTGTTTCAGCTAGTTTACTGTCAATATATAGAAATGCTACTGATTTTTGTATGTTGATTTATATCCTGCAACTTTATTAATTTCATGTATCACCCTGAGAAGCTTTTGGCAGAGTCTTATTTTTTTCCATGTATAAGATCACATTGTCTTTAAACAAGGACAATTTGACTGTCTCCTTTCCAATTCAGATGTCCTTTATTTCTTTCTCTCACCTAATTGTCCTGGCTAAGACTTTCACTATGTGAAATATGATTGGTGAGAATAGGCATCCTTTTCTTGTTCCAGTAAAATCTTTTTCTTGTTCACAGTAAAATCTTTCACCTTTTCCACACTCAGTATGATCTTAGCTGTAGATTTGTCCTTTATGTCCTTTGTGTTAAGGCATATATTTTCTATACTAAATTGTTGAGAAGTTTTTTGTCATGTAAGAATATTTAATTTTGCCAAACGCTTTTATTGTGTTTATTAATTTAATCATATGGTTTTCAGTATATATCCAAAGGAAAGAAAATCAGTATATCAAAGAGTTACCTGCACCCCCATGTTTATTACAGCACTATTCACAATAGCCAAGATATGGAATCAACAAAAGTGTCCATCAACAGATGAATGGATAAAGAAATGTGACATACATATATAATGGAATATTATTTAGTCATAATAAAGAACAAAATCCTGTTGTTTGTGGCAACAAGAATGCAAGTGGAGGGCATTATGTTAGGTGAAATAAGCCTGGCATAGAAATATAAACACCACATAACTACGTGTTCTCACTTATGTATGGAAGCTAAAATTTTTAATCTCGTAGAAGTAGATAGTAGAGTTTTGGTTACCATATCCTGGAAAGAGTAGGAGAAAGAAGAGTATAAGAAAAATGTGGTTAATACATACAAAATTACAGCTGGAGAGAAGGAAGAAGTTCTAGTTCTCTACAGCACTGTTGGGTGACTGTAGTTAATGGGAATTTATTGTGTGTTTTCAAATAACTAAAAGAAAAGATTTTGAATATTCTCACTGCAAAGAAATAATACGTGATTTAGGTAATGGATATGATAATGACTCTGACTTGATCTTTACGCATTGCATAAATATATCAAAATATCACTCTGTACCCCATAACATGTACATTTATTGTATGTCAATTAAAGTAAATTTAAAAGAGAAAAAATGAGGTAAAGGTAAATGTACAGAATTTAATTACTTTTTCTTCTATAAAACCCGAGTCAGTACCAAGAAGAGTCAATTTATTAGTTTTCTAAAATAAAAAAAATCAAAATCACCAAAAAAGAGCAATATCCAAGAAAACATTGAAAAGGAAACACAACATTTAGTAAGAATAGAAAACTTGGGCACTGTATCACCCTGTTCCTAGACACCGATTTACTGATGGCCATTTAAACAGAATTTTATTCTATCTAATTCATTTATACTCCCAGAGTTCGAAATTACATTTTACCTACAATAAATGAGATAACACTTGTAAATTATATGGTACTCTGCCTAACACACGTTAATAACTCAATAGATGTTAGCAATAAACTTTTAGTGTAGTAGTCAAAGCATTAATTTCTCACATTGCAATTTCCTTCAAAGACATAAATACAACCTTTCTAATGACTCCTTGTTCATCAAGATACCTCTTCAAATTATTCTATTTGTTTCATTCAGTATATTATCTGTGTATACCGATATTACACTCTTTTCTTTTTTTGAGATGGAATCTCATTCTGTTACTGATGCTGGAGTGAGGTGGCATGATCTCGGTTCACTGCAACCTCCACCTCCCAGGTTCAAGCGATTCTCCTGTCTCAGCCCCCCAAGTAGCTAGGACTACAGGTGCACACCACCATGCCTGGCTAATTTTTGTATTTTTAGTACAGTCAGAGTTTCACCCTGTTGTCCAGGCCGGACTCGAACTCCTGACCTCAGGTGATCCACCCACCATGGCCTCCCAAAGTGCTGGGATTACAGGCATAAGCCACCGCACCCAGCCTGATATTGCACTCTTGGATTTTGAACACTGAATATCTTTTTGAAAGATTACACCTCTTTACCTCTTCGTGCTTCAGAAATTATTTTCCTTCAAGTGTTCTAAGAGGCTAATGAAGAATGAAGTCATGTTTTATCACTTTTGTCCTTAAAGATTTCAGACATGCTGAAACTGATTGAAGTATCATTTGCTACCAGATAGATTAGTTATCTCTAGTTGTAGGAGTGGATACATCTTTAATGGTATATTTTGGTTTATTGTCTTATTTTTGATGTAGTATTCTATCAATAATTTATTAAACCTGGCATCCTTGGGTGAGCATGGATTTTTCAACTTTGGTGTTATATTGTGTTTGCTTTTAAAAACTGCTTTTGAGGCCAGGTATGGTGGCTCTTGCCCATACCCAGCACTCTGGGAGGCCAAGGTGGGCGGATTACCTCAAGTCAGGAGTTCAAGACCAGCCTGGTCAACATGGCAAAACCATGTCTCTACTAAAAACACAAAATTAGCCAGGCATGGTGGTGCATGCTTGTAGTCCTAACCACTCGAGAGGCTGAGGCAAGAGAATCACCTGAACCTGGGAGGCAAAAGTTGCTAGGTTGCTGTGAGCCAAATTCTCACCATTGCCCTCCAGCCTGGGTGAAAAGAGCAAAACTCTGTCTCAAAAAAAAAAAAAAAAAAACGACCAAAAACTGCTTTTGAATGGAGTTGTACATACAATTTTGATGAAAAAAATTATCAAGTGCATAAGTTCTTAATAGAAAAACCAATAATACTCCAGGCACAAGTTAGTACTAAAAAAATTATGTTGAATATGCTCTAATACAACATGCTTTTTCCCTTCATGAACAATTTGTGTTTTACTGAGAAGAGTCATTGTTTATGGTAGACATTAGACTACAGATGAATATGCACTTTAAACACTCTTAGTTGCTTTCTTAATTTTATATCTGCTGCTTTTTGCTTCTGTTTATTTTCATTCTTTCCAATGTCCACATTCTAGTAAATTTGAATATTTTAATCCAAGTTTATATACTATTTAATATTGCTTGCATAGTTTAGTGTTGTTAAGACTCAAAAAGGTTTACAGAAAGAAGAAAAAGATCAACATGTTATTAATCATTTAAAGATCATTTTGAAATCTTTGACCTTTATATTTTAATGAATAAAATATTAGTAGTTATTAGTATAAAATAATTTATGTCTTTTGGACTTAGCATCCAGTATTTCTTTTTTAATAAAGAAAATAATTATTCTCTTGCAATATACTGTGTTTACCTGGGTTTTGAAAAGTGATGTTTCCTAATATGAGAAAGCCATTTACATTTTTAAATCTACAAAGGCAAATGGAATGGTACTAAATTATTTATATAATAATGTTTAGATGGTGGCCCTTATAACATTCTTTCTATACTTCCTACAGAGTTGGGGATATGCAATCCTGGAATATTTCTGGGAGCTAATCCTTCAGCTTGATGAATGAAACAAGACTTTTAAATAAAATTAAACTTTCAAATTATCCAGGTAATGGGCCTGTCTTTTAATTCAATGGATATGGAGCATAATGAATTATCCCCTGTTCATTGGGTAATAAGTTCTCATTCTTAATTTATAATACTCAAAATATCCTTTAATTTTTAATTTTTGATAGTCATATCATTATCCCTAGGTATTTTAGCTTCTATCTTAAATTCTAAAATAATTTTGAGACAGGAGAAAGTATTCTTTATTACTATATGTATTAAACATCATGGTTTTCAAATTTAACTGCAAATGTATCTTTTCATTGCTTCTTGGTGATGCCCTTCACCCTATCCATATTGTCACTACCAAGTGGTGATTACTTTTCAGGTTCACATACTTATTCTTTAGAAAAATCTTCTCTGTGCCTTATAAAGAATATGATTGTTGGCATTGAAAAGCCAGTGAAATATACATTATTAGCCTGTTGCCTAACTCATTTATTTAAGAAACTACACTAATTACCCACATACTTATGTTTTTATTTACTCATTATTTCTGGAGAAAACAAATACTGCTAACATGATATTTGTAAGAGAGAAAAAAGTCTTTTCTTGAAAAGTGCTGTCATTGTAGTACTAACTTATAGTATCAACTTCTTTATCAACTCCTTATACACTTTTTATTCTGAGAGAAATAAAAAAGCTAAAAGTGAAATGACTTTGTAACTCTCCATATTATAAGCACCCATCTTGGTAATTTAGGGTCTTTATAGTTAGGGTAAGTTGTGTCATACCGAGGTTACAAAATAAAAAGTATTTTGTCTCTTTGGGCCTTTCCTTATTCAGTAATACTGTCAGTTTGGCTTTTTTTGTAGGTCAACTTATTGAACTCAGTATTCTGAAATAATGTGTTTACTATCTTTTGATAAGCATTTAAAATATTAGATTTATTGTTACTCTTCTGCCTTCATTGGGCTGGAAGAATAATTGTTTCACTCCACAAAAGCCAAGTTGCAGAGAAAAACACATAGACATTCAACTGCAAAGCAGAGAAACTTGACTATTTTCTGCAATTTTAAAGTGTATATTGAATAAAACCATCTTTTTATTTTCTTTTTTGCTCACTGGCAAATATTAACAACATCAAGTGCGTTATTATAATGTTATCTAGTTAAAAATCTCAAAAAGTTTTCATAATTACCATTTAAAAATATATAAATAAGTGACCTAATGTTAATTTTTATTGTCTGAGACCATGTCTGTTATTTCACTCTTTAAATTCAGTTAGTAATGCAGAACCTAGCACTTAGTAGATACTCAAAAATTATTTGCTGAATAAAAAAAGGTTAAACATGTAATATACACAAAATGTACTGGAAAAAATGCACCAAACAATTTTGTTATACCAGTTTAATGTAAATATTGTCTTTAAAAGATAATATAGTTTTCAGGTGTCTACAGTGATTTTGTAATATTTGTGCACATATAAAGTAATATTTCCAAAAATGTAATCCAGTGGGGAAATATACTTTCTAAATTCTAGATTTATAATTTAGGGTTTAAATTATAAAATCATTAAATAACACACAAGTGAAATATAGTCAAATATCCCCTTGGAAAAAAATTAAGTGGCCTCTAAAGTGAGGTATTCATATATGTAATTTTACAATCCTCTAGTGATAGAATTAATTAAATATGCCACCAAATTGATTAATTCCTACAGTGTTAAAAGAGAAGCACTAACAATGCCAGTGACCATGTAACATGGATTTAAGCTACAAGTCATAGAAAT
The DNA here is from genome assembly GCF_000001405.40 of Homo sapiens. Classification (NCBI taxonomy): domain Eukaryota; kingdom Metazoa; phylum Chordata; class Mammalia; order Primates; family Hominidae; genus Homo; species Homo sapiens. The sequence continues at coordinate 63,407,907 of NC_000009.12, forward strand.
GTGATGAGAAGCCTCAGCACTGTAAAACTGAGGGTGGAGGAAAGCTTTTCCTCTCTCAAATGAGCTTTGCGAGGTATACTTCTTGAAGGATAGGAAGTTGAAGTGTTCAGGACTTTTATGTCTATTCTACTTTGGCTTAGTTTACATGATTCTTAGTTTATTAGCCTAGAAATGGCCAAGAAAACTTAAGGCTCAATAGTTAGTTATAAATATGAAATATCCCCAATTTTCAAGATAAAACAACTTATAAATGTATTTGTAAAAATTGTGTATATTTTTACAGAACATCTATTTCTTTCTTTATTTTTTTATTTTTTTTATACTTTAAATTCTAGGGTACACATGAACAATGTGCAGGTTTGTTGCATATGTATACGTGTGCCATGTTGGTGTGCTGCACCCATTAACTCATCATTTATGTTAGGCATATCTCCTAATGCTATCTCTCCCCCCTCCCCCCACCCCACAACAGGCCCTGGTGTGTGATGTTCCCCTTCCTGTGTCCAAGTGTTCTCATTGTTCAATTCCCACCTATGAGTGAGAACATGCGGTGTTTGGTTTTTTGTCCTTGTGATAGTTTGCTGAGAATGATGGTTTCCAGCTTCATCCATGTCCCTAGTAAGGACATGAACTCATCATTTTTTATGGCTGCATAGTATTCCATGGTGTATAATGAACCTGAAACGGGAAAGGGCGAGATTAACTAAGCCTGTTTGCCATGGACAGCAATGGGGTTGCTAGAAGATTAGCTGTGTGGAAAAATTATGCATTTACCTTTGGGCATAATAAAATGCAATTGACTCTCCATATTCATGGGTTCTGCATCCACCGATTCAAACAACTGTGGAACAAAATTGTCAGAAAAAACAATACAATGATAAAAAATGATACAAATAAAAAACAACATGGTATACCAACTATTTACATAGCATTTACATCGTATTAATTGTTATTAAGTAATCTAGAGATGATTTAAAGTATATAGGAGGATGTGTGCAGGTTATATGCAAATACTACACTATTTTATACCAGTAACTTGAGCATCCATAGATTTTGGTATACAAGGGGGATCCTGGAACCAATTCCCCATGCATATCAAAGGATGACTGTATGAGTTATCTGTAAAATGGTTTGGTTGAAATGTTTAGAAAACAGCTAGAAATACAAGACTGGCTGTTGGATGAAAAAAACATAGGACTAGGAAATTCAGGTATGCTAGTCTTTTTGAGTATTGCTTAAAGCCATGGGAAAAGAGCTCTCTGTGAGTTCCAAGACAGATGCAAGGACTGGCATTCATGCACAGCTTCTAACAGATAAATCTGAAGAGTTCTTAGTATGCATGTTGACTGAAATTACTTTAGAAGTAATTTTTCTCCTGGTGATAAAAGGCATGTAAGGCTATTTTAGGAAATTGAAAAATGCAAAAAGTATAAAGAAAAAGAAAAGATAATCATTAATAGTACGTTAGTAAACAAGACTTGACTAAAGATATGACTTTCCTCCCGCTTGTTTTCTTATGCATATAAAGGGATAGGAAATATGTATGTATGTATGTGTGTGTATAGGATCATGCACTATATATAGCTTGCTTCTTTTTCCATTATGATAATTTTCCCATGTCATGAATTACGGCTTGCAAGTGCTTATTCTTAAAGGGCTGCATTATTTTTCATTATTTGGATTTATTGTTATTTAATTGGAGCTCTATTATTGAACATTTAGATTGCTTCCAAAATTTTTTGCTCTTGTTAATATATTGTAATAAACTTCTGTGAAACACATACTCTTCACCTGCTACTTACATATGACTTCTGTAAGCAGAGACCTCTGTATCCCCAGGACCTAGAAGGTTACCCGGACATAGTAGTTGCTTAATTAAAAAAAATTATTGATTGAATGAAAGAAGACTATTAAATGTTCAGTTCTTCTTTTTTTATTCTGATTCCCTGTGTATCCAGGGGCCTCTTATTTGGCTGCATGTATGAGTTTGGCTGTAATGAAAGTATTGGCCGTATATGACCATAAACAGGCATTCCTATTTCTGTCACAGTTATATTTGTCATTCTGTATTAATACATCTATATCCTGATTTCTATTGAAGCATGGTTAATTTTGTTTGCTTCTAAGCAATGTAGCTACCCTGTTGATGCTGATAAAAATAAATTTCTGAACCTATAAGACTGAGGATTGGGCCTAGGTTGTAGTAAATTGGCAAGATAATGGATGCTACCCTGTCAAGAGTCCTCTGAAGAGAAAAGTCTGCCACCCTTCACCAGGTAGAAACTCCAGGCAGTGCCACATTTTCCAGTTTGACGCCCTGTGATACCCTGAAAAGACAGATGTTTGACTCTTTTCAAATAATATTTTAACATATTTTAAGACGCAAAGGCATTGTGTCGGACTTTTTTCTTAAGAATATATTTCATTACCACTCAGAAGTTAGTTTCCAAAAGAAATAAGTGTGTGCAAAGGTTTATGATAGTGGTGTAGAGAAGTTTTTAAAATAAATGTGCATCTTTTATGGTAATAAAAGCACATTACGAAGAATTTTTTAGGTCCAGTTCACAGATTCCTTGTGCCTGGGGAAAACTTTATTAGAAAATTAGATAATTTCTAATTTGATTAGGGGAAGTCTAATGGGAAAACTTTTTAACTGAGCGGTCCAATTTGAAACATGAATATCTGTGCTGGAAGCTTCTATTGAACTTTACTTAAGTCACATCTGAGACCCTCTGCCTGTCAGTCCACCATTACCCTAACAGTGGTAGAAATTCTTTATATGACACCTAGATCTTTTTTTGTTGCACTTTTAAGCTGTGTAGGAAACACACTGCCCACATGTTCATACAACACAGAGTGATTATCCACTTAGTTCCTAAAAAGTTGTGTTTGGTTATGGGATTTGATCCCACTTGTCCAGGGTTCAGGTCAGCTACTGAAGATTAGGATATCTGGGTACCTCTTACTGGAGAATCCATTCCTGTTTTCATTTCATTCCTGGGGGCAATATTCAATCTGGTGTGGCCCTCTGTATTATAAAATGTTTCCCAGATTGTGTTTATCTGAAATACAAATCCAAGAAGAAGCATGGTGTTAATTGCCATGTAAAAAAGATTCCAGAGTCAAGAGCTTGAGAAGTTCTATTCCTTCCTTCATAGGTTCAGTTGTTTAACTCAGCATTTTTCAAACATATTTTACTCCTAGAACCTGTTTTTCCTCAGACATATTTAAGAAAAAAGCATTTTGTAGAACACATTTGGACAAATGATACTTTATATCATTGCTTTGTTTTTTAAATTTTAGTTTGACTCAATTTTACAGTTTCAGGATTTTGTTTCTGTTTCAGGTTTTAAGCTTTTCTTTTATAAATAGTTACTTTCCTAGTCTGAAATCTATACATTGTTTCAGTAATGAATTCATTATGTAAATTTGCCCATCATTCATCTAAAGGGAATAAACATTAAATTGTTTTTTTAAATTTTGACTTGTGTCACATGAGAATATAAAGTATATCTGTACAATAAAGGAAAATGAAACATCAAAGTATCTACCTCAGGTTAAGAAGCAGAACTTGGCTGGGCATGGTGGCTCACACCTGTAATCCCAGCACTTTGGGAGGCAGAAGTGGGAAGATCACTTGAAGCCAGGAGTTGGAGACCAGCTTGTTCAATAAAGGAAGACCTCATCTCTAACAACAACCACAACAGCAAAAAACTAGCCAGGCACGGTGACACATGCTTATAGTCCCAGCTACTGGTGCAGCCTCGAACTCCTGGTCTCAAGCCATCTTCCCACCTCAGCCTCATGTTGTAGTGAACTTTGTTATGCAGTGTCTCCTATTCTACTTGTGCAGGAGTATTTTTCCTGTATGTACCTGGAGTGGAATTGCTTGGTCATTGGGCATGTGTGTGTTCAGCTCTATTGAGTGGCATCATACTGTTCTCCAAGGCAGTTGTACCAATCTACACCCTCACCAGCAGTGAATAGTCTTCCCATTGTTCTTCCTCAATGAAACTAGATATTCACAGCCTTTTAGGTTTTTCCTAGAGTATGAAGTGGTATCTCTTTGGGGTTTTAATGTTTATTTCCCTGATTAGAATTGTAGTTGAGCATCTTTTATTGTGTTTATGGGCCATTTATGTTTTCTCTTCTGTGAAATTCCTATACGGGTTTTTTGCTCATTTTAAATGTTGTTGTTTGTGTTTTTCTTATATAGGAATTCTTCACGCATTCAAGATGCACGTATGTTGTTCAGAATAGTACCTGAGACATAGAAACAACTTTGTAAGAATAGCTATCATTACATTACCATTGTATTTAATCTTTTGTTTTTATGTGTTACAATTATCTTCTGCTAATTTGTGGCTTATTTTTCATTCTGTAATGCTAATTTTTTAACCTAGTATTCTATTATTTTAAAAATACACAATCTTGAGTAGTCTACATGTTCATAACCATGACATATTCATGTTGCATATGTTCTGTGTCATAACCCAGAACTTTCTTTTTTTTTTTTTTTTTTTTTGAGATGGAGTTTTGCTTTTGTCACCCAGGCTGCAGTGCAATGGCGTGATCTTGGCTCACTGCAACCTCTGCCTCCTGGGTTCAAGAGATTCTCCTGCCTCAGCCTCCCGAGTAGCTGGGATTACAGGCACCTGCCACCATGCCCAGCTAATTTTTGTATTTTTAGTAATGGTGTTGTTTCGCCATGTTGGCCAGGCTGGTCTCGAAATCCTGACCTCAGGTTATCTGCCCACCTTGGCCTCCCAAAGTGTTGAGATTACAGGCATGAGTAGCTGCACCCGGCCAACTTTCAATCTTAAGTACCATTTTTTGCTGCTGTTTCTTTTTTTGAACCCCAGGAAAAAATTAACTCATTTAATCCCCTATTCAAACTGCTACAATTTTATTTTCAGTGTTGTCGCCTGGTTGTAGATGCATTTGTCTCTCCAAATGCACTGTGATTATTTCGAAGACAAAACATTTTTGGCATTGTGATATATATATATATATATATATATATGTATATATGTATGTAATATATATGTATGTATATATGTATATAATATAGTATAAATATTTATGTTTTATATATCATATAAAATTTATATATAAAAATTATATATATATATATATATAAATGCCACTTATCCCTAATATAGGGACTCGATTAGTTTCTGCTAGTGTGGAGACAAGTCATATCATGGCTAGGGGCCATGATGGTAGGAGCAGTCAGAGGATTTCTTGCATTGTGATGAGTGCCTATAAGTTAAATGAGCCACTTATCAGTAGATTTGATAGCAGGATAATAGTTATATCACTGATACCTAGGCAGTACATGACACTCGGTAAAGAATAGATTAATCCTCGTGCTCTTCATCTTCCTCCTAATCTCTTTACCTGTGCTGCCCTCCAGCTTTCAAAGTGCTCTGAGTCATCACTTACACAGTGTTCCTTAGCTGCCCCTTCAGTGAGCCAGTGTTTCTGTGCCCCAGTGTTCCTGAGAGTTAGAACACAGAAAACAGAGCAGGCTCTTGCCCACATCACAGAACATCTTTGTCTCCCTGTGGATCCCGCACATTTGTTCATTAGAGCTCAGGAATTGCCAGAGACTGGCTTTTGTGGCAATGGACACTAGATTCTTCAGAAGAATATTGGTTGAAATCTTCCTGCTGTGACAATTCCCTGCATGCAGGGCAGGAGTGTGTGCTTCTTCCCAGCAAAGGCAGAGGCAGGGCCTACAGAAACTGTGCCCGCAGCCTATAGTGATGGGGTCTATGAGGTAATTCAGGCAGATAAGGCAGGTGAGTTCTTTCTGGAAGGCTTGTGGGAAGTCTAAGTCCATTTTTCTGAGGGAAGAAAACCAGAAGAATTTATTCTTATGCCACAGAGAGGCAAAGATCTACACAAAGTTTGAATCAGGTTTTGAGTAGGATTCGCTCACAGGTTTAAATCTATAGCAGGATACGATTTTATTTTGCACATAACAAAAATGAAAAACTGAGGCATAGAATTCAAGCTTTGCAGAAAAATGTGTTGGCTCCCTAACCAACACACACACACACACACACACACACACACACACACACACACACACACACCTACTTTCCAAATTCTTTCCTCCTGTATGAAAAAAACTTAAGGCTGGGCACAGTGGCTCATGCTTGTAATCCAGCACTTTGGGAGGCTGAGGCAGCAGGATTGCTTGATCCAAGGAGTCCAAGACCAGCCTGGGCAACATGATGAGACCCTGTCTCTACAAAAAGAAAAGGAGAAAAAAATTAGCTGAGCATGCCAATAGTCCCAGCTACTAGGGAGGCTGAGGTGAGAGGATTACTTGAGCCTAGGAGGTCAAGGCGGCAGTGAGCCATAATCCAGCCACTACACTCTAGCCTGAATGACAGAGCAAGACTCTGTCTCAGAAATGAACAAAGAAAGAAAAAGAGAGAGAGAGAGGGAGGGAAGGAGGAAGGAAGGAAGGAAGGAAGGAAGGAAGGAAGGAAGGAAGGAAGGAAGAAAAGGAAGGAAGGAAGTTTACAGAGGTTTTTGAGGTGTTAGTGTTCCCTAAATTGTATGGTCTTCAGAGGTTTACCCTCCTATAGCTTCAAGGGGTGAGTCCTGACTGGTAGGAAAATCAATCACACTCTTACTTGCCAGTGATTCATTTAGGGAAGACAGCTAACTAAGCTCTTCCACTTTGATTATTTCATTTAATTGTAACAACCATCTTATTATGACTTCTTCAAAATTACCCTGCCAGTAAGTGTTGGAGGACTCCCCAGAAGCAGAAACCACCATGCTTCCTGTATAGCCTACGGAACCATGAGCCAACTAAAGGTGTTTCTCAGGTATTTCTTTATATCTTTGGCCAAAATTAAAGAGTTAGGCTTTACTCTCCAAGATACTGCAATGGACAAAAACAAGCCACCACTGTTTTCTAATGTTGTTTTCTTGTTAATTCAATCAACAAGTATTTTCTGGTAAGTTTAGTGTTCCAGAGACTGGTAACCTGGTGATGCACCAGTTAATAAAACATCCTTAAGAGAAATAAAAGTTGAAAAATGAACCAGATGATAAAATGCAGTAGTGTACACAATGCCACTTATCCACAGGTCTTCTGTGTGTCACCCATGATCCAGAAAATGTCTTTAGTATAAGCCATTGATAAAGATGCCTGAAAAATTTACGTATAGAAGACATAGTCACAAAATTATTTTTTTCCTTTGATATCCCTTGTTACTTCAAACAGAATTTACCACTCCAATTCGATTTCTGAATACATGGGAGTTAATAGAATACTCCTAATCCATTTATAGGATCTACACTAAGTAAAAAATTTAAAGACATCTGAAAACTATTTTGTGAGTCCTTATAATCCATATCAACAATCATGGAATATATTAAGTAATAGACCAAAAATTAATCATCATATTAACCAAAAACACATAGCAAGACAACTAAATATTTTCATTTGGAAATTGGGAAATTTAGTCAATTTTAAAACTCAGCAAATGAGATCATTTCACAGAAGCAACCTAGGTTTGCTGGTAAATTAAAATTATGACATTTTGTTTTGGTTTGGGAGGGTAGTTCCTCTTCTGTAAATTGTGTACTCACATAAGAAATATATCTATGTTCTCACGGACACTTGCTGTAGAGGTAATAATATGAAGTTAGCTCAGGGATCAGGGCCTCACAGTGCAGTGCTGGTAGTTTTTTTTTTTTGTTGTTTTTTGTTTTTTTTTGCCCTGCACCTTGAGTAAAAGTTTCCTGAGGCCTCCCCGGAAGCAGAAACCACCATGCTTCCTGTATAGCCTATGGAACTGTGAGCCAACTAAAGGTATTTCTCATGTATTTCTTTATAGGAATGCAAGAGCGTACTAATACAGCTAAGCAGAGGCCATCAGGACCAGCAAAAGTCTGAGCTGGATGAGAGACAAAGCTAAACTTTGAGCAGCAGCAGGAGCTGCCAGGGATTACAGAAAGGAAGGACTGACTCCTAAATTCCAGGATGTCTCCTTTAAGTCTGTAAGAAGCTCAGCCACTGTCTCCTTACCTGACTCCTCTGGGAAAGAGTTTCCCTAGGTTAAACCATACAGGGATAGGGTAGGAGATGCCATTTGGATCTAGGAGCAGAGGGCAGAGACTCAGCAGGAAGAGTGTCTCTTTGAGAAGGATACACAGTGGAGCAGGTGTGTAGGTTCACAGGGCCAGCTATGGGTAGAGTCGGGTGTACATTTTTAGAAGCCACAATTCCCAAAAATCTCCTGACTATAAGATCAGTGCACAGAGCCAGTCAAATGGAGGAGGAGTGGGTCCAGGCAATTCAGGAAGAAGGAAAGTAACAAATGAGTGGTTGCAGGAGGACACTTTTTCTGTCGAGGTCACTAAACAAAACATTGTCTCCTCCCCTTAACTTCAGAAACAATGGAGGGTAAAAGTGTTGCCTGGGCCCTGGGGGCAAAGGCAGTAGATAACTTCTCTGTCGTGTTCTCCAGAAGGGCCCATTCCAGCCTCACAGGCCGAGAAGTCTGTTCGGTTCCCAAGTACTAGAGATGCTGCTATAAGGGACTCCTGAATTTCCTTCCTGAACCAGAGGCTGCCCAGCCTTTTCTTCCTGTTTTATTTTTTCCCAGGAAGAAACTTGCCTGTACAATTACAAGGTTCTACGGTTCTAAATTCCAATCTAGTCTTCCACATCATTTTGAAGGTATAATATTACTTGTCAAAGTGGGATGATAGAAGATATGTGTGGACATAAATTGTTGACAAGGAAAAAAACTAAAATCAGAAAATAAGAAAAAATATATGTATGTACAGTGGTTAGCTAGAAATGTGCCTTTTAAATATTTGGCATGTGGTATGTGTGCCTCAATGTGTACTATTGCACTAGCTTCCCAAATATTAAAGGATGTCTTTTAAAAGAAAAACCTCTTGCTAAAAGGTTAACAGTTAAAATAACCAGAGTGGCACAGGTACCAGTCATTAAGTGAAACCTTTCATCTTCCCAGAATAGTACCTGTTCCCAAGCCAGCTTCTTTGAAAATCACTTTTCTCTCCTTTACTATTTAGTTTACAGATTGTATAGTAACAATACAGAAACCACAATAGTAGCAAAAAAAATAAAGAATATTTTTAAATGAAAACTCACATCCTAACTCTACCAAAACATGAAAATTAAACCTGAATGCCTCCCATTCCTGATATATTTTCACCTAAATATTCAGCTCTGGGATTGCATTGTTTTTGGATTGAGTGGAAATTATTGCCTGGTCTTGAAATCTTCCATAATGTGTGTGTGTGTGTGTGTGTGTGCGTGTGTGCATGTGTGTGTGTGTATATGTATGTATGTGTGGTGAATATATTTCTTTTTGTTCGGAGCAAAGATTTTTTCAATATGTATATTTATTTTAGGCAGATTATGCTAGTAATTTTCTACAAATGTGCTTTTTAAAAAATAACCTTTAATTTAAAAAAAATTATTCTTACTCAGTGGCCCACAATTGTTAAAAACGCTACTAATGGAGCTGGGTATGGTGACACACACCTGTCATCCCAGCTACTTGGGAGACTGAGGCAGGGGTATTGCTTAAACTTGGGAATGTGAAACCAGCCTGGGCAACATAGTGAGATCCCAATCTCAAAAATCAATCATTAAAAAATAAAATAAAATAAAACACTACTAATAGCTTTTTAAAAAATAGTTCTTAACCAATTTTCCTAGCACCTTCCTTTCCTCAGTGAAGTATAGAAATATGTGGTCAGTCACTGTGGCTCACACCTATAATCCCAATAATTTGGGAAGCCAAGGCATGAGGATCAGTTGATTCCAGGAGTTCAAGACTAGCCAGGGTGACATAATGAGACTTGGTCTCTAACGAAATTTTTTTTTCTTTAATTACCAGGGCATGAGGGTGCATGCCTGTAGCCCAGCTACTTGGAAGGCTGAGGTAGGAGAATCACTTGAGCCCAGGAGGTGAAGGCTGCAGTGAGCCATGGTTGCACCACTGCACTCCATACCTGGGTGACAGAGTGAGACACAGTAACAAAAACAAACAACAACAAAAAGTATTTGTTTTAGAAAAAACATTTGGTGAGATTTGGGCTTAAAAATATATTATTCTAAAATATTCATAAATATTCTCTAGTAATGATAAGATTAAAGTGACAAAGACAAACTTTTTTCCTGTGCAGTTCCATCTCTCACCTTCCTGTAATTTGTCTGTCCCATCCAGCTTCCAAAGGAAATTATTTACAAAATAATGTCTGCATCCTGGGTCTATATATCTATTGCCTATGAGGAGAGCGTTTAAGATCTGAGCCATCTTCAAGTCTTATACTTTGTGTATAGCTCTCATGTTTTTGCAGGTTATGTAAGTTTGTATACCCTTTCTTTTATTAATCTGTGTATGGTCAGTTCATTTCCGGTAATCTTCAGAGGGTGAAAGGGGAAGCTTTTCACTTCACTCCTACTGTGACAACTAACTACCTTCTTACTTATTCAATTTTTTAGTCTATATCAACATTTTTATATACATTTACTTTTAAACAAAATTTTGCATCATTACACTTAAAATTTTATTTAACTTTTAAAAAGGAAATTAAAAATAAAATTAAAAATTATAAAATTTTACATAATAAAAATAAAATAAATGATTTATATAAAAATTAATCTGACCTGTGAAAAACACTGTCCAGAGGCCAGGTGCGGTGGCTAACGCTTGTAATCCCAGCACTTTGGGAGGCCGAGGTGGGTGGATCACGAGGTCAGGCGATCTAGACCACGATGAAACCCCTCTCTACCAAAAATACAAAAAATTAGCGGGGCGTAGTGGCGGGCGCCTGTAGTCCCAGCCACTCGTAGAGGCTGAGGCAGGAGAATGGCGTGAACCCGGGAGGCGGAGCTTGCAGTGAGCCGAGATCGTGCCACCGAAATCCAGCCTGGGTGACAGAGCCAGACTCTGTCAAAAAAAAAAAAAAAAGAAAGAAAAAAGAAAAACACTATCGAGAGAATAAAAAGACAAATCACAGACTGGGAGTAAAAATTTACAAAAGCTATATCTGGTGAAGATACATTTGTTATCCAAAATATGCAAAGAACTCTCAGGACTCAATAATAGGAAAACAAATAGTCTAACACAAATGTAGAGATCTGAACAGACATTTCACCATAGAATACAGATGGACGATACATAAGCACATCATTCATCATTAGGGAAATGTAAATTAAAACCACAATGAGATACTGTTACTTGCCTATTAGAATAGCTAAAATTTAAAAGACTGACCATACTAAACATTGGTGAGAACACAAAGGAACAGGAATGCTCATATACTGCTGCTGGAAATACAGCCACTTTGTCAGTTTCTTTAAAAGTTAAACTGGCTGGGAGCGGTGGCTCACGCCTGTAATCCCAGCACTTTGGGAGGCCAAGGCGGGCGGATCACGAGGTCAGGAAATCGAGACCATCCTAGCTAACACGGTGAAACCCCATATCTACTAAACATACAAAAAATTAGCCGGGCATGGTGGCGAGCACCTGTAATCCCAGCTACTCCGGAAGCTGAGGCAGGAGAATGGCGTGAACCCGGGAGGTGGAGCTTGCAGTGAGCCGCGATGCACCACTGCACTCCAGCCTGGGCGACAGAGCGAGACTCCGTCTCAAAAAAAAAAAAAAAAAAAAAAGTTAAACATATCACACCACCTAGTCATTCAAATCCTGCTTATTTGCCCAAGACAAATGAAAGTGTATGTCCAAACGATTGGACAAACATTCGTAGCAACTTTATTTGAAATAGCAAAAACAACTGGAAGCAAACCAAATGTCCATCAAGAGGTGAATAGATACACTAACTGTAGAATATCCACACAATAAAACTATTTTTTTAAAAACTACGGGGCAAAAAACAAAAAACCAAAGATAGAATCTAATTTCTTGGTAAATACATTCACTATTAGGGTTTTTATAACAGAGAAGTCATTCTTTATTAACACTCTTTTGACTATGAAAATATTTTAACATCAAAAATCTGCAAAATATGAAGAAACAAAGGACACACAGCTTTTTCTATTTTTTATTTTTATTTTATTTTTATTTTTTTGAGAAGGAGTCTCTTTCTGTCACCCAGGCTGGAGTGCAGTGGCGCGATCTTAGTTCACTGCAAGCTGCGCCTCCCGGTTCACGCCATTCTCCTGCCTCAGTCTCCCGAATAGCTGGGACTACAGGCGCCCGCTACCAAGCCCGGCTAATTTTTTGTATTTTTAGTAGAGACGGGGTTTCACCGTTAGCCAGGATGGTCTCAATCTCCTGACCTCGTGATCTGCCCGCCTCGGCCTCTCAAAGTGCTGGGATTACAGGCGTGAGCCACCACCCCCGGCCCCAGGACACACAGCTTTAAAATTTCTCCTTGGTCTCACCCAGTGCCAACCACCTAAAACCTCTCATTTTCCCCCAGACATTTCTTCTGCCTCCAGGATGGAGGTAGAGAATCTTGGCCTTGGACCACGCACTGGGGACCATGCTGGGCTGCCGTGGACAGTGACGGACTCAGGTTCTCACCAGGATCCCCAAAATAGGCCCCTGAAAAAAATGTTACCATCAGGGTGCGCTCCCTGATTCTTGTGTCTGCTGGAAGGAGGAAATCAAGCCAGGAACATTGTCAGGATAGAGATGAAAATGGGGCTCACTTTTCTGTCTTTTGTGATGTCAGACAAGCCTTTCAGCTCTGTCTCTTCAGCCCTCATGGAATTGTTTGGTGTGGACGCACCGAGATTCTGAACTGGGTCCCCTTTCCCTCTGCCCTTCTCTGGGGCCAGATTCTGAGCTCTCCATTCCAATTTTTCCCCCAATTTGCCCTTGCATTTATTTATCTGGATTACTGTCTGCCTGTCCCAAAGAATAAAAGCTTTATCACAGTGGGGATTTTGTTTTAAAAAATAATAATAACAGCTATATTTTTAGGATCCATGACACTGTCCAGCATATCGGTGGTATCTGATAAAAAATGTTTGTTGACTGGATGAACAAATATATTATTCACAATTCACATTATCCTGAACTGGCTAGAAAATTAAATATCTGATATCAGTATTGGCAATATTATGAAGTAAATATAAGTCTGATACAGTGCTCGTGAAAGTCTAATATGCAATGCTCATTTTAGAAAACATTTTCTTGTAGATTTGAAAATGTTTCATCTCCATGAACTAGTTGTATATCTGCAAGTTGTGTATCTTTGGGTTAGGCAGAATAATTGCCCCCCACCAAAGACAGCCACATCCCAGTCTTCAGATAAGGTGAACATGCTAACGTAAGTTAGCATGTTCAAAGAGACTTGGCAGATGTGATTACCATTAAGGGCATTGAAATGGGGAAATTACCTTGAATTACCTTGGTGAGCCAGTCTAATCTCATAATTCCTTGAGAGCAGAGAATATTTTCTGGATGCTGAGATTCAGACAGATGGCAGTATGAGAAAGATGTGGCCTGCTATTACTGGCTTTTAAAACAGTGGTAGGGGGCCACAAGCCAAGAAAAGCCAGTGACCTTTAGAAGCTGGGAATGACCCAAAGTTTACAACCAGGAAGAAACTGAAGATCTACAACCACAAGGAACTGAATTCTGCCAACAACCCAGATGCTCTTTTAGAGCCTTCAGAAAGAAATGCAGCCTGCCAACATCTTGATGTTAGTTCAGTGAGAGCCATGCCAGATTTCCAACCAAAACAATTCTAAGACAATAAGTCTGTGTGTGTTTTTTAAAACTGACTCAAATCTTACAAAAATGTGTTCTTTTAAGCCACTGAATTTGTGGTAAATTGTTACAGCAGGAATAGAAAACTGATACAACCCTAGAGAAAGTCTTGTACATGTGCCCTATAAACACACAGCAGAATTTTTTTAACTTTTTATTGAGTTAAAAAATATATATATATAATTTACCATCTGTACATTTTTAGAGGACAGTTTAGTGGTGATAAATACATTTATATTTTCTTCTCTTAATCTCCTCTTCCCACTCCCCTTGCTGGCCTCTAGCAACCACCAATTTACTTTCTATCTTCATGAGATCCACTTTTTTACTGCCCACATATGAGTGACAACATGTGGTATTTGCCTTTCTGTGCTTGGCTCATTCCACTTAACATAATGGCCTATGTTCATTACGTTAAACCAAATGGCCAGTGCCACCTATGTTGCTGTGAATGACAGAATTTCATTCTTCTTTGTTTCTGAGTAGTATTGCATTATGTATATATATGACTTTTAAAATCTATTCATTTGTTGATGAGCACTTACGTTGATTCCATATTTTGTCTATTGTGAATAGTGCTGCAGTACACATCGGCATGTAGATATGTCTTTGATACATTAATTTCCTTTATTTTGGATATATATCCAGTAAAGAAATTGCTGGACCACATGGTAGTTCTATTTTTACTTTTTTGAGGAACCTCCATACTATTCTCCATAGTGGCTTTATTAATGTGGATTCCCACCAACAGTGTACTAGTATTTCCCTTTCTCCACATCCTTGCCAGCATCTGTTATTGCCTGTCTTTTTGAAACAAGTCATTTCAACCAAGGTGAGATGATATTGCATTGTGATTTTGATTTGCATTTCTTTGACGATTAGTGATACTGAATATTTTTTGTCTTCCTATTGGCCATTTGTTTGTCTTCTTTTGAGAAAATATCTGTTCAGATCTTTAGCCCATTTTTAAATTGTATTTATTTATATATTTTTAACTATTTTTTTTGAGAAGTAAGGTCTTGCTTTGTCACCCAAGCTAAAGGGCAGTAGCATAATCATAGCTCACTGTAACCTCAAACTCCTGGGATTAAGAAATCCTCCTGACCGGGCGCGGTGGCTCACGCCTGTATTCCCAGCAATTTGGGAGGCAGAGGTGGGCGGATCACGAGGTCAGGAGATCGAGACCATCCTGGCTAACACGGTGAAACCCCATCTCTACTAAAAATACAAAAAATCAGCCGGGCTTGGTGCCGGGCGCCTGTAGTCCCAGCTACTCAGGAGGCTGAGGCAGGAGAATGGCGTGAACCCCGGGGGAGCAGAGCCTGCAGTGAGCCGAGATCACGCCACTGCACTCCAACCTGGGCGACAGCGAGACTCCATCTCATTAAAAAAAAAAAAAAAAAAAAAAAAAGAAATCCTCCTACCTCAGCCTCTTCAGTAGCCCATTTTTCAATCAGATTTTTTGTTTGTTTATTATTGAGTTGTTTGAGCTCCTTATATATTCTACTTGTTAATCCTTTGTCAGATAGATAGTTTGAAAATATTTTGTCCCATTCTGTGCTTGGCTCTTCACTTTGTTGATTGTTTCCTTTGCTTGAGGCTTTTTAGTTTGATATAATCCCATTGTCTATTTTTGCTTTTGTTGCCTGTGCTTCCGAGGTCTTATGCAAAAAAATCTTTGCCCAGACTAATGTCCTGGAGCATTTCTCCTATGCTTTCTTTCTTTCTTTCTTTCTTTTTTTTTTTTCACGCCATTCTCCTGCCTCAGCCTCCCGAGTAGCTGGGACTACAGGCGCCCACCATCATGCCCCGCTAATTTTTTTTTTTGTTTTTTGTATTTTTAGTAGAGATGGAGATTCACCGTGTTAGCCAGGGTGGTCTCGATCTCCTGACCTTGTGATCCGCCCGCCTTGGCCACCCAAAGTGCTCAGATTACAGACAAGAGCCACCGCGCCCGGCCTTTCCTATTTTGTTTTTTTTACTAGCTTCATAGTTTCAGGTCTCAGATTCAAGTCTTTAATCCATTTTTATTTGATTTGATTTTTGTGTATGGTGAGATGGGTTTAATTTTATCCTTCTGCATATGGTTATTCAGTTTTCCCAGGATCATTTATTGAAAAGACTGTTGTTTTCCCAGTGTATGTTCTTGATGCCTTTGTCAGAGATGAATTGTTTGTAAATGTGTAGATTTGTCTGCGATCTCTATTCTGTTCCACTGTCCTATGTGTCTGTTTTTATGCCAGTAGAAATATATTGGCAATAATTAGTACAGAAGAGCTGAAACAATGAAATGACAAAAGTGAATTATACTGATATAATTCATTATGCTCACTAAATGCAATAGCATACAGCTAGGAAAACAAAGTAGTGCACACCGTATTAAAATACAACACAATTCAATATACACAGTGCTCACAGTGGCCATCGTTAGAGTGTTGAAGAAGGGGATGTAGTCAGCAAAAGTTGTACAGGTGACTTCAAAAGTAATCATAAGCACTTATGATTACTTTTGGCTTAATTTCTTAAACCAAGACTGGAGACACAGGTGTTCATTATGTGCTTATTATATATATAAAATAAATATTTTATAAATATATTGTTTCTATTCAGTATTTAATAAAGTAAATCAGTAGAAAAGGTTAAAGAGCAATGCACACATATTTCAAATATGTTTTGCTCCAAATTATATAAACATTGCATAGTTATTGCCCTGGGCCTGGCAAGGTGACTCACACCTCTCATCCTAGCACTTTAGGAGACTGAGGCAGGAGGATAGCTTCAGCCCCAGAGGTCAAGGCTGCAGTGAGCCTTAATTGCACTACTGCACTCCAGCCTAGGTGACAGAGCAAGATGCTGTCTGAAGATAAAAATAAAAATAAGTTAATAAATATATGTTTATATATTAACTGATTTTATTAACTATATATATATATAGTTGTTGTCTTGGTCTATAGGCAATCTTACAGTGCTTAAGACTTTGATACTGAGAACAGATCTCCTAGGTATATGCTATGTTTCTGGGGTGATATGATGCTCTCATCTGGCCTCCATGAGCCTAATTCTATCTTACATTTACCCCACTCTTCAACAACAACTTGGGGAGGTGTCCCTAAACATTCCTAGGTGAACCCAAACCTGTGGCCCTCAACACATTTCTAGGTAAAGCAAGCTCCTGACATATCTGTGGATATCCTCTCACTGGAAGAAGGGGGAAGAGACCATCTCAAAATAATTCATTTAATATAGCTTTTCAGCATTAATTTTATTTTGATAAAGAGACACACAGTAATTAAAATTTCTAAAAAACTATAAACTTTCAAGCATTCTCACGCTAAATCTAGCCCTGCTTACATGCCAGGGAAATATAAAGGTAATCTGTTTCTCAACCTGACCAGGATGCTACAGTAATTAAAAATAAACTCAATCCCTGGATCCCTACCAAAGGGACATTTCATATGGATCAAAGTTCTGGAAAAATTATTTGTCAGGAAATAGACTAATTCTCCAAAATATAATTGAAATAACAGCCTCTGGAAAGGGCCAAATACGACCCTTAATGAAACAACAGCTAAATATAGGTCTGATGCTCATTCCGTGTGGACAACAATAGCAGCCATTCCCACAAATGGCTGATTTGTGGGAAGCAAACACTACTTTTGCAGAATCTTACATGATTTCAGTAGAAGGTCAAGGACATTTCAGTTGGGAACAGATTGCTCCATGGTAATACGATCACTATGTACCCAACAATGGCTCTTTCTTCCTAGCCTCAATGCAGAAGTTATTTTCACCTTACCTATTATCATTGCTGTTTCTAACCACATAAAAGTGTATCCTTTATATATCTGAAGTAAATTCATACTAGTGGTGTAACATCTCCAGCCATTTAAGTGTAAAAACAGAAAACATATGATGTGTTTACTTACTGTTTTATACTCCTAACGCATGAAGAGAAGATCCTTTTATTCATTGCCTATACTTTTATTTCTAAACTTTCTGTAACACCTTATCTTATATCCAGCATAGAATTGAGATTTGCTTTTTGATTTAATCTGACAATATTTTTTTCCTCTAATAAGAGTCAAGCCCACTTACTTTTAATGATAAATTGTGTTTGGTTATATTTTGATTACAGTATATTATGCTATGATTTATATGCACATATCTGTCTTTTGCTGTCTTGTTTGTTTTTATTGCTTTTGTTTTGATGTTGTGATATTTGGAAGAGTTAAACTTTTATTCTGATGGCTACCTTATGTAATTTCATAAAATCATCTCTTTCTTTAGACAGTAGCTAATGTCTCTAAACTAAGAACAATGGTATTAGCTGTATTCTCTTTCTTGTCCTCCCTATGTGATTTTTCATCCCACAATTTGATTTAATCATATTAACTTTGTTTCCCCTGGTGCCATTAAGTATGCTTACATTTCTATAAACAATATCCTTTGACTCCCAGGCATTACAGATGAGCAGTCAGTAAAATCATTCTGAGGAATACTTTCTCTTTCCTTTTCTTCCATTTTTCTTAGTTGTATCATTTCTATATTGCCAGAGCACCTACAGTTGCATTTCTTTCTGTCAGCTTTATCCAGCATTTGTTCTTGTCTTTTATTTGAAGTTAAATATATTCCTTGCTCACTACAACACTGGGGGAAGGAAGGTTTCTGTTGTCGTCGTGCTTGTACAATTGTTTATTTAAAAACATTGGCGAAAACAAAAACTGTACGTAGATGGAATGGAGATAAGACAGAAAATGAGAGAGACTGATGATGAGTGTGCCTATTCTAGACTGGGAGGCGTGCTACACTGAGTAGTGTCTCCAAGGCTGCAGGAAAGGATGGTTGATTGTGAGCAGGTGGACTTTCCACTGGAGGAGAGAAGTCCTGCGCTCAACAACCTGTGCAGAACCAGAAACTGGTAATGCTTCAAATCAACTTACAGACCTGGAGGTAGAAATTTAAGAAAACTCGTTTAGCACATAGTTTCCTAGAAAATATTAGCTACTATTTGCTGAGCATCTGTCAGGTCTGTCTGTAGTATGGAAGATCTGAGTACAGGGGAAACTGGATTAGTAACAGTGGGTCAGAAAATTATATAATATTCAACCAAAATTCCTGCTTTACATACACAGCACCTGGTATTTCCAGAACTAGAAGGTAAAGAAATTATTTGTGCTTGAACTTGCAGAAAACTGCCTTTTCCCTTCTCTTGCATCTTAACCTGGAGCTTCCCTTTTCTTGAGCCTCAGTGTGCTTCCCAACTCAATTTATAATTGACTTCCTGCAGTTTCTCCTTAGGACAGGGCTTTGTTTTGGGGGTGGTTAATTTGTAGGGTTCATAGGAAACAGACCACTCACAGCACTGCTTTTTGCCACCCTCACTCTCAGCTATGAGTTGAGGCCCAGGAAGCCTTCTGCCAGCCTCAGCTGCTGTTCTCAGATTAATCTGCTGAGTTCTTTTTGCCTAGTAAGAATCTCTGAATTTAGGAACATAGATGTTAGCGCTTGTATTTCTAGGTTTTCCAGTTCCCAGGGCCATTAAACATTTTTTTCCTTTCCTTTCCTTCTTCCAAAAAAATTGGTGATTCCCCTGGGTCCCTGTGGTTTAACCTCACAAAACGTCCATGATGACACCCTGTTACATTGTTTTGTCGTAGTTAATACCTTGTTATCCCAGTTGCTCAGTCAGTTTTTGTGAGAGATTCAGGGATCTTAATAAAACTGTGCTGCTACTGCTACTAACATCTTGCATAAAAGCCCGATTAATTAAAATGTTTATTTTGCATGTGATTTGAACTTGTAATTTTTATTCAAAGTTTTTCAACAGAGATCCAGAAAAGACCCTCCTTATATTTTTAGTTTTGTGCATTGCAACACTTTTTAGTGAAAAAAAAAATGAGAACAACACAAGTGATTTTAAAAGAATAAACCTACAATCCATTAATTATAAAATGAAATACTATGCAGGTGTTAAGAATGAGGGAATCAATAAGAACTTGTGTGGGGTAACTATAAACTTTTAAAAAATAAATTTAATGCTCATGTGACCATATTATCGTTAAAAAAATACAAGCATACTTGCACACACCTTCAAGCAAAATGGGTACACGCATTTAAAAATATTTAAATTAAGTAAATGGCCCAATAATTTAACTTCGTACAATTCTATGTTCTCTGATTATTTTATATGCCAGAAACAGGCATTACTGTTTTGTTTATTTCATTTGAAATAATTGTAGTCACATGAGGTTTAAGTTATAATACAGAGAGGTCACATATGCCTATTTTCTAATTGGTATCTTATTACTATTGAGTTTTGAGAATTTTTTACATATGCTAGATGTAAGTTCTTTGTCAGATATATGGTATGAAATTATTTCTCCCAGTCTGTAATTCATTTTTTCAACCTCTTTACAGGGTCTTTCTAAGTAAAAAAAAAAAAAAAAAAAAGTGTTTATTTATTCTAATGAAGTCCAGTTTTATCACTTTTTCCTTTTGTAGATTTTGTTTTTAATATCAAGCCTAAAAATTCTTTGCCTAGCCCAAGGTCTCAAGAGTTTTCTTCTATTTTAAAAAGTTTAGTGAATTTATTTATTTATTAATTATTTTTGAGACGAGGTTTCGCCCAAACTGTAGTGCAGTGGTGCCATCATTGCTCACTGCAGCCACTAACTGCTGGATTGAAGTGATGCTTCCACCTCAGCCACTTGAGTAGTAGCTGGGATTACAGGCACGAGCTACCATACACAACTTTAAGTTTTATAATATTACATTTTACATTTAAGCCTGTGATTTATGTGAGCTAAATTTTATATAAAGTATAAATTTAGGTCAGTCTTAGTTTTTGTACCTGTGAATGTCCAATTGCTGTAGCACCATTTGTTGAAAAAGATATCCTTCCTTTAAACTGATTTTGCATCCTTGTTAAAAAAAAAATCAGTTGAATATAGTGTGGTCTGTCAGCTTTTAATAAGATAAAAACATTGACACTCACCAGATATCGAAGTTTAGAAATTTTTTTAAAGCTAAACTTCTGAAAATAGAATAAAAACACCTTCACATGTCAAATTAGTCAATTTCTATAGGACTAATTCATTTAAATATATTAAAATACAAAATAATCTACTAAAGTGATAATACAAGACTATAAATTTAAAGGCTAATTATTAAGTCAAATTGCTGTATTCTACGTGTTAGAGTGAGTTCAAAAGATCCATTGTATTACTGAATAGGCAAAAGTTTTAATTTCAGAGGATGAAACTGATATATTACTGCCACCTTGTGGATATTCTGTTATTACAGGCTATTATAAAAAGCAATGAGGGTATGTAATCTGTTCTAAGAAGAAGCATTTCCTTTTTTTGAGGTTTTTATTATTGTTATTATTACATTTTAAGTTCTGAGATACATGTACAGAACGTGGAGGTTTGTTACATAGGTATACACATGCCATGGTGGTTTACTGCACCCGTCAACCCATCATCTACATTAGGTATTTCTCCTAATGCTATCACTCCCCTAGCCTCCCACCCCCCTGACAAGCCCCGGTATGTGATGTTCCCCTCCCTGTGTCCATGTGTTCTCATTGTTCAACTCAAAAGAAAAACAGAAGCATTTTCTGCTTTCCCAATTTCTTAAGTACAATGCAACTTTATGTTTAATTTAACTAACTTAATTTTTTGAGACAAGGTCTAGCTCTGTTGCCCAGGCTGGAGTGGAGTGGCGTGAATATGGTTCAGTGAAACCTCCACCTCCCTGGCTCAAGTGATCCTCCTTCCTCAGCCTCTCGAGTAGCTAGGACCACAGGCACGCACCACCATGGCCAGCTAATTTCTTTTTTATTTTTTGTAGAGATGAGGTCTCACTTTGTTGTCCATGCTGGTCTCAAACTCCTGGGCTCAAAGGATCCTCTTGCCATGGCCTCCCACAGCGCTGGGATTTATAGGTGTGTGCCATGGCACCAGGCCTAAGCAACTGTAGAGAAGCCTTTTTTTCTTTCATAAAAACAGTTGTAGATATTTTCCTTATGGAATTTATTTGTGGTGAAATATTTTAATAGATGGTTTGTTAATAATTTGTCTCAGATAATAATAATTGATTAATATTAAAACTACAAAACAAGTAGGATCTTCTTTTTCTATGAAAAATGAAAGTTGATTCTGACATTTATGTAAACATTTTAAATATTCAAAGTATATAAATGTGAAGTCCTATCAAGAGTAATTAGACAAGAGAAAGAAATAAAGGGCATTCAAATCGGAAAGGAGGACATCAAATTGTTCCTATTTGCAGATGACATGATGTTATATATAGGAAAACCTGAAGACTACCAGAAAACTTTTAGAACAAACAAATTCAGTGAAGTTGCAAGACACAAAACTAATACACGAAGATTGGTTGCATTTATATATATGAACAACAAACTTGCTGAAAAAGAAATTAAGAAGGCAAACCCATTTACAATAGTTACCAAAAAAAAAAAAAACCCAGACATAAATGTAACCAAGGAGGTAAAATGAAAACTACAAAACACTAATGAAAGAAATTGAAGAGGATACAAACAAATGAAAAGACATTCATACTCATGGATCAGAAATATGAATGTTGTTAAAGTGACAGTACTACTCAAAAGCAACCTACAGATTCAATGCAATCTCTATCAAAATACCTATGAACATTCTTCACAAAATTAAAAAAAAATCCAAAGAGATTTTATGGAATCAAAAAGTATCCTGAATAGCCAAAGCCATCCTAAGCAAAAAGAACAAAGCTGGATGTATCATGCTACCAGACTTCAGAATACACTACAAAACTGTAGTAACCAAAACATCATGGTATTGGCATAAAAACAGACACATAGACCTATGGAATAGAATAAAGAACCCAGAAAATCCACATATCTCAGCCAACGGATTTTTTACAAAGATGCCAAGAACACTCATTGGGGAAAGGATAGTCTCTTCAATAAATGGTGCTGGAAAAACTGGATATCCATATGCAGAAGAATGAAACTAGACCTCTGCCTCTCACCCTATACAAAGATCAACTCAAAGTATCTCAAATACCCAAATATAAGACCCAAAATGGTAAAGCTACTAGAAGAAAACATAGGGGAGATCCTTCAGGACATTGCTCTGGGAAAATATTTTATGAATAAGGCATCAAAAGCACAGGCAACAAAAGAAAAAATAAACAAATAGGATCACATCAAGCTAAAAATCTTCTGCACAGCAAAGGAAATAAGAAAGTGAGTGAAAAGACAACCTACAGAATGGGAGAAAGTATAAACTCATCTGGCAGGAAATTAATATCAAGAATATACAAGGAATTCAAACATATCAACAGCAAAGAAGCACAACAATCTAATTAAATATAAACAAATGCTCTGAACAGACATTTCTCAAAAGAAGACATACAAATGACCAACAAATATATGAAAAAATGTTCAACACCACTAATCAGCAAGGAAATGCTAATCAAAGCCACAGTGAGGCATCATCTTACTCCAGTTAGGATGGCTATTATAGAAGAGACAAAAATAACAAATGCTGACAAAGACGTGAAGAAAAGGGACTTTTTTTTTTGACAGAATCTCACTCTCCGTCCAGGCTGGAGTGCAGTGGTGGTGTAATCTGGCTCCCTCTGCTTCTAGGGTTCAAATAGTTCTCCTCCCTCAGCCTCCTGAGTAGCTGGAGAAAAAGGAACTCTTATGCACTGTTGGTAGGAATGTAAATTAGAGCAGCCAGTATGGAGAACAGTATTGAAACACCTCAAGCAATCCCACTACTGGGAATTTATCCAAAGGAAAGAAAAGCATTATATTGCAGAGACATCTGCATCCCCATGTTTATTGCAACAGTGTTCACAATAGCCAAGATATGGAATCAACCTAGGTTTCCAACAACAGATGAATGGATTTTTAAAATACGGTATATATACACCAAGGAATGCTATTTAGCCATAAAAAAGAATAAATAAAACCCTGTCATTCTCAGCAACATGGATGGAACTGGAGGATATTATGTTAAGCAAAATAAGCCAGGAATAGAAATTTCAACACCACATGTTCTCACTCACGCAGAAGCTAAAGAAAAGTTGATCTCATAGAAGTAAAAAGTAGAACAGAGGATACTGCAGGCTGAAAAGGGTAGGGAGAAAGGAGGAATGGTAAGAGATTTGTTAATGGATACAACATTACAGCTAGGTAGGAGTAATAAGTTCTAGTGTTCTATAGTACTGTAGATGACTATAGTTAACAATACTATATTATGTAGTTTAAAATACCTAGGAGTAGTTTGAATGTTCCCAACACAAAGAAATAATAAATGTTTGAGATGATAGATATGCTAATTACCCTGATCTGATCACCATCTACATGTACTGAAACATCCCCGTATAGCCATGAATATGTATAATCTTTGTCAATTTAAAAAGTAAAAAAAAAAATTAATCTTGGAGAATGCATTTGAAGAACTTGTACTCAAGAAATCAACTTAAGAACCTGAGTCTCCTTGGAATTTGTGTTTTCTAGACCAGTACTTCTCCAAATTAAAGCAAATTTAGGCTGGGCATGGTGGCCCATGTCTATAATCTCAGCACTTTGGAAGGCCGAGGCAGGCAGATCACTTGAGGTCAGGAGTTCGAGACCAGCTGACCCAACATTGTGAAACCCTGTCTCTACTAAAAATACAAAAATTAGCCGGGCATGATGGCATGTGCCTGTAATCCCAGCTACTTTGGAGGCCGAGGCAAGATAATCGCTTGAACTGGAGAGGTGGAAGTTGCAGTGAGCCGAGATTGCACCACTGCGCTCCAGCCTGGGCAACAGAGCAAGACTCTGTCTCAAAAAAAAAAAAAAAAAAAAAGCGAATTTAGTTCACTTTGGTATTGTGTCAAAATGTTGATTCTTTTAAAGTAAATCTAAAGAATTTAGATGTAGTTGAAGATTGTCATCTGTTCTTAATTTTTTTAATAAAAATATAATATTTAGATTCAGAGTAAATCTAAAGTGAGACCTGAAGCTGCTCCCAGGTGATACTGATGCTGCTTATTTTTGCCCAGATTTTTAGTCACAAGGTTCTAAATTATCGTTTTGAAGTCCTACATGAGTAATCACTTGGAGAGCTCAATTAACACCCAGCAACAGACTAATTATTAATAAACCAGAATCTTCAGTATTAGGCTTCAATCATTGGCAATTTTTTTTTTTGACACACAGTCTCCCACTGTCGCCCAGGCTGAAGTCCTGAGGCCAGAATGAGACTAGGACATGGTTCCTTTGCCTAAGTAAACTGAGGCAGAAAATGGAATACTTCAGACTTCAAATTAGTATGGTAAGTGCTATGAAGAGTATGATTAGAGTTCATTATTTACCCAGAAAAGGGTCACTCAGCCCAGCCTGGGAGTTAGAGAAGGTTTCCTGAAGTCTTGACATGTGAGTCGTGAAAGGACATAAGGAGTTAACCACGTGACAAAATAAGCTAAGAGAATTCTCAACAAAAGACAAAATATTGGCAAAGGCTTTTAGGCATATACTAGCTTAGTATTATTGGGAGAATGTAATGATTTTCTGTATTTCAAAAGTGTAAAATACAAAGTGGGCCATGATATGAGATAAACCAGTAAATATGTTCTGGGAACAGATCATAGAAGGGCGTGTATGCTGTCCTAAGGAGCTTAAACTTCAACTTCAGTTCATGGGAGCCAATGACAAGATCTGAGCAGGGGAAGGATGTGGCTAGAGGGGCATCTTAGACAGACAAGATCCTCTGTGGATTACACCTAGGCTAAGCAACGGGTTAAAGTTGTTGTCTTAAGACAATAGTCCAGGTAAAAGATAATAAAGTTTTAAATTAGGATGTTAGTAGGAATGAGGAAGAGGGATGGATTTCAGAAATAGTAAGGAAATGTATTAGCAGGACTTGATTAGTGATTGACTTGGGGAAGGAGGGGAAGATAGAGTTCAGGATGACTCCGAGACTGTCTGGTGTCGGTGGCTAATAACTGAAGCTATTAATAGAGGTAGGAAATGCAGACCAAAAGCAGGCCCGGGGTGAGAGATGATAAATTTGAATTTTAACATGTTGAGTTTGGACATCCAGGATGAAATAATCACAAAACATTTAAATATACGAATCTGAAAAGGTAAGCATCATAAGCATATGAGCTATTGGTAAAATTCTGATACTTAATGAAGTCTCGCAGGGAGGCAGTACAGAGGCAAGCAATGGGCTGGGGATAAAACATAGGGAAATATTATTTAAATAAAGATGAAAGAAAAGGAACCCACAAAGGAAGCTGAAAAGGCATAGTCAAAAAAAGGGGCTTGCCAAATGCCACCTTTGAAGCTCTGCTGTTACACTTTATAAGGAAACTTTTGGTTACCTGGGATTGCATGCATTTATAAAAGTTTCTATTAGGAAGACAATAATAATGATAAGGCTCTTTCTCATTGTTGTCAGTGTAATTTATCTATTTAATTATAGAACCTAGTTCCAGGATGCTTAATCTGAAGTATATACTTGGGGCAAAATGAATTATATCTTAATAATAATCTGGAATTTTTATCTCTAACTTGACATATTTTAATTCTTG
This sequence comes from Homo sapiens, assembly GCF_000001405.40. Taxonomy (NCBI): domain Eukaryota; kingdom Metazoa; phylum Chordata; class Mammalia; order Primates; family Hominidae; genus Homo; species Homo sapiens. The sequence continues at coordinate 63,434,255 of NC_000009.12, forward strand.
CTAGATTTTCAAAGTGTCATACCTTGAACCACCGCCAGATGGCTATGAGAATGTTACAAATACTGCGCCACCATATAATGCTTTCTCAGCCCAAGGCATGCCAGAGGTAAAATAAAATACATTTGTAACCCAAGTCTTTAAATGGTTCTTTTGCTATATAAAACCTGTATAGAGGACTAAAACCAAGGAAATTAGGTGAATCATTCATGCGGATTCATTGTTTGATATTCAGTGCTATGAAAACCTCATCCCTCAAATTTAAAAAATTATAATAAAATAGAAAACAACACCAGACAGAGAAAAAAGAAACAAAACAAATACATTAAAAACTGACCCTGCTGAAGCAGATGACACTCTTCGAAATAACAAAGAAACTGCTGAACACACCTTTAATTCAGTGAGGCAGTAGGTGTTTTTTTCTTTGTTTGTTTTTGTTTCTTTTTTTTTTTTTGAGACGGAGTTTCGCTCTTGTCACCCAGGCTGGAGTGTAGTGGCACAATCTGGGCTCACTGCAACCTCCGCCTCCCAGGTCCAAACAATTCTCTTGCCTCAGCCTCCTGAGTAGCTGGGATCACAGGTGCACACCACCACACCCTGCTAATTTTGTATTTTTTTTAGTGGAGGCGGGGTTTCTCTATGTTGGTCAGGCTAGTCTCGAACTCCCAACCTCAGGTGATCTGCTCACCTCGGCCTCCCAAAGTGCTGGGATTACAGGCGTGAGCCACCACGTTAAAAAGGGAAACTTCCTATTTGCCCTCTGAAGGTTTGCAGAAAATGAATGGACAAAACATAAATTAATAGAAGAAAGAGGCAAAAAAAAATTCTGTAAAATGTAGGGGAAAAATCACAGGGTCTCACTCAGTTACCCAGCATGAAGTGCAGTGGTGTGATCATGGCTCCTTGCAACCTTGAATTCTCAAGCACAAGTGATTCTCCCCCCTAAGCCTATGGAGTAGCTGGGATCACAGGGGCATGCCACCATGCCCACATACATGGGTATTTGCTGGAGGGGAGATGGAGACTCTCTGTCCTGGATGTGAGACAGGTGGCTGGCATCTGGGTAAGGATGACATTCCCTCATTGCTAAAGAGTAAAAGAGGAAAGTGTCATGGATAGTGCAAGCAGGGACATGCCCTGACCTAGTGAGGTCCAGAGGCTTATATTATCCTTCATAGGGGAGTGGGAAGAAGCGAGTGTAGGCAACCCAGGGGAAATAAATGACCTAAAATAAAAGAAATAGATCATCAGAAGTGTAGATGTATTAGTCAGGGTTCTCTAGACTGACAGAATTAAAGGACTATATACATATATATATGAAGGGGAGTGAGATGGTTAATAATGAGTGTCAACTTGATAGGATTGAGGGATATGAAGTATTGATCCAGGGTGTGTCTGTGAGAGTGTTGCCAAAAGAGATTAACATTTGAGTCAGTGGGCTGGGGAAGGCAGACCCACCCTTAATCTGGTGGGCACAATCTAATCTGCTGCCAGCAAATATAAAGCAGGCAGAAAAATTTGAAAAGGAGAGACTGGCCTAGCTTCCCAGCCTACATCTTTCTCCCATGCTGGTTTCTTCCTGCCCTCAAACATTGGACTCCATGGCTCTCCTTTCTCATCAGTTTGCAGACAGCCCACTGTGTAACTTATGATCCTGTAAGTTAATAAACTCCCCTTTATAAATAAATATATATGTGTGTGTGTGTGTGTGTGCATATATATGTATGTGTGTGCGTATGTATATATATATGTATATATCCTGTTAGTTCTGTCCCTCTAGATGTCACTGGCTAATACAGGAAGTTTATTAAGTATTAACTCACACAATCACCAAGTCTCACAATAGGCCATCTGCTGGATGAGGAGCAAAAAGAGCCAGCCAGAGTTCCAAAACTGAAGAACTTGGAGTCCATGTTCGAGGGCAAGAAGCATCCAGCATGGGAGAAAGATGTAGGCTGGGAGGTGAGGCCCGTCTCTTTTCACATTTTTCTGCCTGCTTATAGTATGGCTGGGTTGGCAGCTGATTGGATTGTGCCCACAAAGATTAAGGGTGGGTCTGCCTTTCCCAGCCCACTGACTCACATGTTAATTTTTTTTGGCAACACCCTCACAGACACACCCAGGATGAATACTTTACATCCTTCAATCCAATCAAGTTGACACTCATTATTAACCATCACAAGCCCACCCCTTGTGAACTTGAACCCACACACATCTCCTGAGATCATACATAATCTTAAAATACAGACAATAGTAAGGTCATAATTACCCCTAACATAATAAACTATCCTTCCTACAACTGGAAATGCACCCATCCCCAACCCAAATACTCTTACATAAAGTAAACAATACTTAAATGCTGATATGAGGTCAGCAAATCTATGTCACCTGATAAAGAAAAGGGAAATGAAATGAAGATATTTTCTTAGTACAAGTGCATACATGCACAAACATGTTTTTAACAAAAGAAGGAAATACTCATGATAGTTCCAGTCCTCATTTCTGCAGCTGGTCAGGTGGTTGTAGCTGGTATTGATAACTACTTTATTCCACTATTCATTCTGTATTCCCTTTGCCTTCAGCAAGCACCTCAGCAGGTTGTGACCCGGAGAGGATCTGGACCGTTTGTAGTCCTACCTGGATTGGGTATAGTTTCCCATTTACCTTAATCAGAGTGCATGATAATACCAAGAGACGCCCTAATGGATCTCCTATATTCCATGCATACTCTTCCTCACTTCCATTGTGGAGTAGCGGACTGACTTCATCTTGATAGTCTGGGTCAATCACTGCCGCCAACACTGTAACTCCATTCTTAGCTTGTTGACTTAAAGGTAGGAGGACCCCAAAGCATCCAAGTGGCCATCTTAACTTCCAGTTTAATGGAATCGTTATTGTGTCTCCTGGTAGCAGCGTTCTTCCCTCTGGAGTTAAGATGACTAGTAAAGCAGAACCTAATGTCGTGGGAACAGAAAGCAAACATTTTGCTAGTGCATCATAGTGAGTGGTTCCACTTTCACATCCACCCCTTGAATCCTGGATCTGTGAATCCTGGCTATGGGAGAAACAATACCATACATTGGGCGCTGATTCAGAGCACACATGGTCTTCTGGAGTATGGTGCCCCGGCCCGGCAAAGTATTGCAACCTAGTTGATGTTGTAATCGCGACCTCAAAAGGCCGTCCCACCATTCTATCAATCCAGCTGCTTCAGGAAGATGGGGAATATGGTAAGACCAGTGAATTCCGTGAGCATGAGCCCACTGCCTCACTTCTTTACCTGTAAAGTGAGTGCTTGGTCAAAGGTAATGCTGTGTGGAATACCGTGATAGTGGATAAGGCATTCCTTGAGTCCATAAATGGTAGTCTTGGCAGAAGCATTGCATGCAGGTAGGCAAACCCATATCCTGAGTAAGTGCCTGTTCCAATGAGGACAAACCTCTCTCCTTTCCATGGTGGAAGAGTTCCAATATGATCAACCTGCTACCGGGTAGCTGGTCGATCACCCCAGGAAATGATGCCATACAAAGGGTTCACTGTTAGTCTCTGCTGCTGCTGGCAAATTGGGCACTCAGCAGTGGCCACAGACAGTTCAGCCTTGGTGAGTGGAAGTCCACATTGCTGAATCCATGCATAACCTCCATCCCTGCCACCATGGCCACTATGATCATGGGCTTATTGGACAATGACAGGGGTGTCTGAGGAAAGAGGCTGAGTGGTATCCACAGAACGGGTCATCTTATCCACTTGATTATCAAAATCCTCCTCTGCTGAAGTCACTTGTTGGTCAACACTCACACAGGGTACAAATATCTTCAGTTTTTGACCACTCAGAGAGGTCCATCTACATACTCTTTCTCCAAGTTTCTTTGTCACCAATTTTCCAATCATGCTTCTTCCAAGTCCCTGACCATCCAGCCAAACCATTGGCTACAGCCCATGAATCAGTATATAACCGCACATCTGAAATTTCTCCTTCCATGCAAAGTGCACAATCAGGTGCACTGCTCAATGTTCTGCCCACTGGGAAGATTGTCCTTCACCACTGTCCTTCAGGGATGTCCTAGAAAGGGGCTGTAGTGCTTCAGCTGTCCACTTTTGGGCAGTACCTGCCTATTGTGGAGAACCATCTGTGAACCAGGCCCTAGTCCTCCCTTCCTGTGTCAACTGCTCAAAGGCAAGTCCCCATGAGGTCATCAGTGCAGGCCATGGGAGAGAAGGCAGGGTGGCAGGAGTAGAGACCATGGGCATTTGAGCCACTTCCTCATGTAACTTACTTGTGCCCCCCAGGACCTGCTTGAGCCCAATCACTTATACACCATTTCCATTTGATGATGGAATGCTGCTGTGCATGACCCACTTTATGGCTACATGAGTCAGAAAGCACCCAGTTCACGATAGGCAGTTCAGGTCGCATAGTGACTTGTTGACTCATAGTCAAATGTTCAGTTTCCACAAAAGCCCAGTATAGGACAAGAGCTGTCTCTCAAAAGGAGAGTAGTTAACTGGAGAAGATGACCGGGCCTTGCTGCAAAATACTAGAGGCCTCCACCATGATTCACCTATGGAGGCCTGCCAAAGCCTCAAAGCAGCATTCCTATCTGCCATGGACACCTCAGGGGGACCCAGCCTCCCCTTCATTCAAGGGGTTCTGGGTCTGTAAACTGGCTCAAGGCTGGAAATTGATTGAGGGGCCATGAATCTCTGTTTTTATGATTCCAGTTAGTCTTTTATCTGTTTGACCTTAAGTTTCCTCCTTACATAAATTAAGTAGGAATGCATTAGTCTTCCTGTCAGTTTCACTTCCAGGAACACTGTGATTAGTTAGCCAATGCCAGAGCTCTACATGAGTCAGACTGTTCAGATTGCTGCTTTGTCTTTTCTGCCCATTACGGTAGCTATGCCCACCGTGCCTTTGAGGGTTGAGTGCTACCACTTGGCCCCTGCCACTTCAGGATCCAATTATTCCAAATTGTATTTAACTTTTGTAACTGAGTGACTGCAGTTCTCACCATTAGATCTGACATACAGAGAAGAGCCTTTACAGGGCTCTTCAAAGATGCAGGTGCTGTCCTCACAAATCTGTTTTGCAAGGTGTTTGTCAAGGGTATTAGGTACAGAGTCACTAAACTCCTTGCCTCTCATGAGCGATGATTCATTAGTGTCAAATGAATTTGTTTTGCGTAGCTCTTTAAACCTTTCATGCCAAGAACTGTCAATATTCTCTACACTATTAAAAGTAGAGTCCTTAGCATTTTGGGATCTAATCATATTTAGCAGCCAAATCCAGAAACCCCAAAACCAACAAAAGAACTCCAACCTTAATATTCTGATCCTGCAGAACCATTCCTGGTACCAAAATCTGTATTAATGAGGGTTCTCTAGAGGGACAGAACTAATAAGTTCTATATATATATATATGGGTTTATTACATATTAACTTACAGGATCACAAGGTCCCACAGTAGGCTGTCTGCAGGCATGAGGAGTGAGGAGTAAGGAGAGCTAGCTCGAGCCTCAAAACTAAAGAACTTGGAGTCCGATGTTCAAGGGTAGGAAGCATCCAGCACGGGAGAGAGATGTAGGCTGGGAGGCTGGGCCAGACTCAATTTTTCACTTTTTTCTGCCTGCTTTATATTCACTGGCAGCTGATTAAATGGTGCCCATAGATTAAGTAGGGGTCTGCCTTCCCCAGACTACTGACTCAAATATTAATCTCCTTTGGCAACACCCTCACAGACACACCCAGGAGCAATGCTTACATCCTTCAATGTAATCAAGTTGACAATCAGTATTAACTATCACAGGATTACAGACCTGAGCCATCACACACAGTGTTATTGTATATTTCATACAATATAAAATATTCCTGATTTTCCCATTTTATCTGTGACTTAATAAAGTTTTTCAGCTATGACCCCAAACTGGTAGTACTTGAAAGCACATTCAAATGTATTTTACAACAATTCATAACTGGCAAAATGTTGAGCCTTGTGGAAAGAGTCACCTTACTTCCCCGTCAGCTGTCAATTCCCCATCATTACTATCACTTCCGGGAGCACATTTTCCAAAACTCCTTTTCTCTCTATGGTTTCTTTAGAGTTGCTCCATGAGGTTACGATAAGTTACAACTAATTACTGTCATGAGATTGGGAAGTCAGAGTGGTGGATTCATGTACACTGACACCTGAAGTAAAACACATGCAGTTAGGTGTGGACTGGAGAATCACCTGGAGATGTGCTGCAGGCAGCTGAGAGCATCAGCACCCCCAGCCCTGGGCTTCCCAGACAGGACTGAGGATCATCACACGGTGTTCAGCACATACCACCAGGGGCAGGTGCATCCTGGCTTCTGAAGTAGCACCTGAGAATCCCCTGTGTCTAGTACCTGCTTCATGAATAACACTCCATAGGCTTCGGAAAGACTGTGGTTTAGACTCTAATTTATTCAACTTGAATAATTTCTCCTTGAAATACTGAGAATAGCTTCTCTTTTGCTGTACAAATTCCGATTATCCCATAACACAGACTCCTCAGCTGGACTTATCTCTCTTCTTTATTCAGTCAGGACAGGCATTGTCACGTCTTTTCTGTTGGGGATGAGGGCGAAAGAGGCTTAGCGTTCAGAGGAACCTCCCTGGCCTCCTCTAGGAAAATCTCCCGATGACTTTCCAAACCTGACTGAGTTTGAGAACTTCCCTCAGCAGATAGAGGCACCAGAAGGAGCATTGGGGCAGCCCAGCCTCACACATCTGCTTCCTTGGGGTTTATGTTATGACTTGTAACACTGTGGGAGGGTTACTGTCACTCTGTTGACAGTAATAAGTTGCAAAATCTTCAGGCTGCAGGCTGCTGATGGTGAGAGTGTAATCTGTCCCAGATCCACTGTCACTGAACCGAGAGGGAATCCCACTTTGCAGACTGGATGCAGCATAGATCAGGAGCTTAGGAGTTTTCCTTGGTTTCTGCTGATACCAATTTAAATTATTGCTAATGCCCTGACTCGCCCGGCAAGTGATGGTGACTCTGCCTCCTACAGATGCAGACAGGGAGGATGGAGACTGGGTCATCTGGATGTCACATCTGGCACCTGAAGTTAGAAACATAAAAACAAATATTCTTGCAATTAATCATGTTATCAGAGGACTTCCCTGAAGTTCCAGACAGTACTGAGCACACTGACCGAGTATAATCCTAGTGTTCTCCTTCCTTACCTGGCAGCCAGAGCCCCAGGAGCCCCAGGAGCCCCAGGAGCCCCAGGAGCTGAGTGGGGGCCCTCACGTCCGTGCTGTGTCCTGACTGGGGCTGACTCCTGCACCAGGTGTGGCCAGCCTATAAGAAGTCTTCAGGGCAGGGGGCTGTGCTCTAGGAACAGGCAAATCAGCAGGGGATGGGGCAGGCTGAGCACAGCTGCAGGGCTGGCTCATCTCAGTAACTCAGCACACGGGCGCAGTATCCCCAGAGTCCCAGGTCAGACCAGGGCAGCACAGATTTACCTTGAAAGAGTACACTTCTCATTGGTGGCCATATGGTTACAGAACATATTTTTGGAGTGAATTTTCAAAATTTTAAATCAACCTAAGACTAGATTAAATAATATATTTATACTTGTATTAAGAGTGTATAGGAAAGCATCATTTTTGGCAGAAAATTTACAATAAAGTTATAGAGTGTGGGGCTGTCAGAAATTTCAGTTAGTCTCAAAGGAATTTGATGAGTGTAAAAGTATTTAGTGCTATAATAACAATGTCTCTGTCAGTGTGAAATTGCTTCTTTTTTGAAATGAATATAAAAAGAATTTATCAGAAGCATCTTTAATAAATTCAATAGAATTTACTAACAAACTTAAGACATTGTTCCTAGGAGTAAAAGGAAAAACAATTCTCTGAAGATGCACAAAGATGATAATGTGTCACGCATAGATCTGCCATTATCCAGAGCTATGGGTCTCTTTAAGACCCAGGGGCTAAATGGGCTGCACCTTATTCTTGGCGTGATGATCCCCATATTCTATCCCCTTTCCTGCCTTTGGTATAATTTCTTATGGTTCTCCAGCATGGAGAGCTGACTAGTAATACCAGGTCTCATTATTTCAAAATCTCTGTTTCACTCGCGGACTATAGGAGCCAGGATTAAAATCAACTTGAAGCCCTCTATCAATGTAGGCTCAAATAATCAATTGTTTCAAAGTAGGATGACAAAGGCCACATCCCTTGAGTAATGCTCTGAGCTGCGCTCCCCACCAGCCTGTTCCTGGGGTCTCAGGAGCATCTGCCCTAGAGTCTGGCTTTCTGGAGAGCAGGTGAGGGGGGAAAAGCCAGGTCAGTGAACCTCTCTGCTTAGCGAGGGCAGCTGCTGCCCAATGCATGTTCTTGCCATGCACCAGGGCATCATCCTGACCCAGATGCCAGCCACCCTGTCTCACATCCATTTAGAGAGAATCTCCATCTTCTGCCAAGACACTGCCCATGTAGATGAAAAAGTATTTTGCCTCCAAACATATCTTAAGCACTGATTTGAACCTCAATACTTCACACAGATGCCTTTGCCCAGGGCGTGTCGGCCTGGCTCAACAGCAGGGGAAGTGGAGCCAATTACATCAGTGTCAGTGGACTGAGAAATACTCCAGGAAGTAGTTCTCATGCACGACTACCAGTGGCCAGACCAAGGTAGTGCAGCCTGTGCACAAACCTCCTGCTGCTTTTCCAGAGAACTGGATTTCTGGGAAATGGCTACTGAACAGGCTGCCAGGATCCATATATCCAGATTCAGAGAGATACATCTCTGGATTCAAATGCGCTTTTTCTTTGTGCATAATTTTAGCAGTCATTGTTACTACGCCTTGGGGATTCTAGTCATTATACTTCAGCTGACTCTCTATGGCCCTTTCTCCCCTTCACTGCTCTGTCTGAACCTGGGGAAGCAGCTCAGGCTGCAAATGAGGCAGACCTCATGGCCTGGAATTAGCATCCCCTAGGACGGCTGTCAATCAGTGATGACAAGGGAGGTGTACACATCCCGCAGCTCCCTCACCTCTCAGGTGGAATAACAGAGGCATTTTTCCTGTGTTTCTATGTGGGCTTGAGCTCTCGTCATCCTCAGAGGTGGCTCCTTCTGAGGCACCTTTCACTTTCCCTTTCCCTCCTCCCCTCCCTTGCTCATTTGCTTGTTTCCTGCACTTTGTAAATATACTGCCTGCATGCGAATCTTTGGCATCCTTCTCACTGAGGGGACCCAACCTAATGCATTGGAAAAATCCTCATTCTTGGAGGGCATCATTGGTTTGAATTATTGCCACTTCTCATGCTTTAATGCATAGGGAAATTCCAAAAATTTAGGAAATCTTTAAATTCCCTTTGCCAATCTTTCTTAGATTTGATTTTAGCAGAGATTCATTTTCTCTAGGTCACAAAATCACAGAAGCCTTCCACAAATGGCTACACAACATAGAGTCCACATAGAGCAGAGACTCAGAATCTCCCAGGATTTGACATCCACACATCAGACAGTCCTAGATTCTCAGGTTTTTTCTAGGTCGATCGCCTCGTAAATCTGCCTTGTGATATTTTTATTCTACCTTAGGGGAAGACCATTGTGTGGATGATGAGGGTTGTTTGTGGAATGAATAATACACCCACTAAAGACATCATTGTCCTAATATCTGGAATCTATGATCATTACTTATGAATATGTCAAAAATAACTTGGCAGACATGGTTGAGAATTTGGGGGTCAGGAGAGTATCCTGAATGATCTGGGTGAGACCATCATAATCACAAGGGTCCTTATAATAGGGAAGGAGGAAGGTAACAGCCAGAGAGGACCTGGGACAACGGACAGGGAAACTGGAGTGATGGAGGAAGGGGCCATGCTGCTAGGAATGTGGGAACATCAGAAAGATGGAATGCTCGATATTGGATTCTCTCTCTTGAAGCCTAGAATGAATAGAGCCCTATTACTCCTTGATTTTACTTCATTGAGACTTCTGACCTCCAGAAATGTAAGATAATACACTTGTGTTATGGGGAGCAGTAAGGTTGTGGTAATTTGTTACAGCAGCAACAGGAAACCAATGCAAGGGGAAGGGGTGTGTTTTACTTCCCTAGTGTATCACTGTCCTCTGTTCTCCCAAATAGTTCTGTGTTTTTGTGTTTGCTGTCAATTTCAACAAGAGACAGAAAACATTTTTCTATGAGGAGAGCTAGCACCACAATTCTTCTTACGTAGAAAGTGTCTTGAGTAATTCTCTGGGTTAGGTCTTGTACAATCTTGGTATCTGAGAGCCTGGAGGTCATCCCTCACAGCACATGAGAAGAGGAAGGGGATGCGGGTTTGCTGTTTTAACATTTGTAGGGCAAATTAGATGTACAAGACCCATTATTATTATTATTATTATTATTATTATTATTATTGTTGTTCTTTAAGTTCTAGGGTACATGTGCACAACGTGCAGGTTTGTTACATATGTATACATGAGCCATGTTGGTGTGCTGCACCCATTAACTCATCATTTACATTAGGTGTACCTCCTAATGCTATCCCTCCCCCCTCACCCCTCCCCCCACCCCACGACAGGCCCTGGTGTGTGATGTTCCCCTTCCTGTGTCCATGTGTTCTCATTGTTCAATTCCCACCTGTGAGTGAGAACATGCAGTGATTGGTTTCTTTGTCCTTGTGATAGTTTGCTGAGAATGATGGTTTCCAGCTTCATCCATGTCCCTACAAAGGACATGAACTCATCCTTTTTTATGGCTGCAAGCGAGGACTGAGTCAGAGAGATGGGGATGGCAGAGGAGACAAAATGTGGTCAGGGCCGTGTAAGATGTGACCCTCTGCCATATCTGAAAGAAAGGCTGTTGGTGTTTGTAAAGGCTTTGGGCAAATTGTGCTTTGTAGACAAAACTGTAGAAGGGTCTGGGTTTAAGCTTAGTGTCAGCGTGATGAGGAGTAGAGGTCGCAGTGAGCTTGTGTTAAGAAATCCACCCTGCACTTCTGGCTTTGTCTCTTTTCTGGTTTTATAGGTGGTGGGTTCCTCTATGGAATGAACGTGGCTCTGTGGAAGGAACATAGTTAAGGTCAGACAGACCTAGATTCCAAGTTCAGCTTCAACAACTGCTGACCAAGTGATTTTTATGCAAATCAGCCATGTGCTGTCATGAACAGTTTCCTCATGTATGAAATGGGGCACTGAGGATGTGAAGGGGTGTCCTGAGGGTTCCGCCAGCTGATACACCATGAAGTGTACATACATGTATAGACAGACACACACACATACATGAGAAGAGTATCTAGTGTCCCTTTTATGCATTCTTGAGTAACTCAGAATGTTATGTGAGATATTAACAGTCATATGTCATTTTCAACTAAAATTATCAATATTTATCTTATAACTAACAGATGCTTCTCTGTACACTGTAGGTTTCATGTACATTTCTTCAATCACAAAATTTTTCACCAATCTATTTACGTCTAGTATCAGAAAGTTAAGCAAGGAGATTGCAAACCAACACAACACCTTTAGTCTGGATTTTCCCAGAGCCCCATTTGTGTTAGTGTCCTCGGGCTACTGTAACAAGTTCTCAAAAATGTGGTAGCTTCAAACAACAGGAATGGAATCTCTCATAGTTCAGAAGTCCAGATCAGTTTCACTGGGCTAAGATCTTGGAGTCATCAGTACTGGCTCCTTCTGAAGCTCTAGGGAGCAGTCTGATTTAGCTCTTCCAGCTTCTGGTGGCTTCTCTCTCCCGGGATGTGGACACATCACTGCAATCTCTGTCTCTGTGTTCACACTGCCTTCTCCACTTCAGTCTATGCTAAATGTCTCTCTACCTCTTGTTTTTATTAGGACACTTGAGTTTGCATTTAAGTCCCAGTTGATTAATCTAAGACCATCTCCCTGTTTCAAGCTCCTTAATTTACACCTGCAAAAGCTGTTTTCCCAAATGAGATACATGCATAGTCTTCTTGGAATGAAACCTCACTATTTGGGGATGATACTCATTACTACACCATTACATAACTAGGTCTCAGTGTTAGTCCTGTACATACATCACAATCTCTTTCTCTCTCTCTCTCTCTCTCTCTCTCTCCACACACCCTGGCTTCCTCCTTTTCTCAATGTCATAAATCTCTTCAATTCCTTAAGTGTATCCAGTGATACCTATAAACAAATAAGCATCTGAGAAAAGTCTCAATCAGTTTAGAAATTTATTTGGTCAAAGTTAAAGAAATATCAGTGAAACAGCCTCAGGAGGTCTTGAGAACGTGTGTCAAAGGTCGTCGGGCTACAGGTTGGTTTTACACGTTTTAAGGAGACATAAGATATCAATCAATACGTGTAAGCTGTACATTGCTTTGATATTGAAAGGCAGGACAGCCCGAAGGAGGGGGGATATTGGGGACTTCCAGGTCATAGGTGGATTCAAAGATTTCATAGGTGGTTGAAAGAGTTTATCTAATGACCTGTAATCAACACAAGGGAGTTTCTGGGTTTAGAAAAAGGGTTTTGGAGCCAAGGTTGCATCATGCAGATGAAGCCTCCAGGTAGCAGGCTTCAGAGAGAATAGATTGTAATTGTTTTTTAGTAGACTTAAAAGGTGCCAAACTCTTAGTTAAATCTCTCTGGGTCAGGAAAGAGACTTAAAAAGGAATCTCTACAGAATTTAGATTTTTCCCACAAGAACCAGCTTTGCAGAGGCATTTTTAAATACATTAAATAACAATATCTTGGGGAAAATACTTTGATTTCTCTTAGGACGTGGTATCTGTCACATTGGTATCTTATTGCTATAAAGAGTTTTCTTTGTCAGTCTCAAGGTCTCTGTCTTCATATTAAAAGCTGGTCAGTTCTGCCTGAATTTTAAAGGGAAGAGGGTAAGTTAAGGCATATCCAATCATCCGTTCCGATCATGGACTGTATTGTATTTCAGGTTGATTTTGGTGTGTCCTTGGCTGAGAGGAGGAGTTCATTCAGTTGGTTAGGGAGCTTAGAGTTTCATTTTTGGTTTACACACCTATGTCCAGGTAAGAGGGCCTCACACAGGAGGGCTTGCTCAGAACCTGGCTTGCAGGGCTGCTTACAGACCTTCTATGTCTCCTGTTGTCATGCACAAGGAAGGACACAGCCAATGACAAAACTCAGCCATCCGGGGAGAAGCTGTGTCTGCAGAGGACGGTCATGAGCTGTGAGTCTAGAGACCTGTGATTGTCTTCAGGGGCCTGTGGTCCTCGGCTTTCATAGGAGTTGTGGGGGCATGGCTCAAATAGCATCCACCAGGATTCCAATCAGAATATCTCATTCACAGAAGGCAGTGGGTGATATGACAGCACAGAGGGACTCCGTGGGTCCAGCTGCATGGAGCACTCTGGGAGAGTCACTGGCACCCGTGCTAGACAGAGCTTCATTCAACTTCTGGAGCACACGGATTTAGATCTCTTTACATCATTTTGAAAGACCATTTATCATTCTGAAGGAAACCACTGTAATTAACTAAGGTAACATCTTTAATAGGTAGAAAGAAAAAAGTGACTATTTTATTGCCAAGATGATGACAAGAAAAGAAACAAAAATAGCATGAAGGAAAGAGCAACACTAGACTGAGGGCTTTGGGTAAGAGGTTGAGACTTAGTAGTGAATGCCCTGGGCCATCTTCTGTCAAAAGGGAGGGACAATCAGCAAAGGGAAATATGCAGTAGAGGCAAAATCTTGGTTAGTAAAAGAATCCTAAGAGAAAACAAGAAGTCTCCTTCCTGAGCATCATGTTGGTGTCAGGAAGATGCACATAATCCCCCCATTGCATGTCTTACACTTTTCAGCAATTAGGGCTCAGCATGAATTTAGAAGACACCATTCACTTCACAGCAGATGGGGACACAGTCAAGGCAGTGGTGAGAGGCAAGGCTGGGCTTTCAGTCTCAGAGCACAGAGCAGGTTCCCCACTACTCCGCACCCTGGTGTCTCCTCCCAGATGTTCCAGATGGTCCACCTCATTCTTGCCTTAAGGGCTCCAAGTTGTTAATGGGACAGTAGCCCTCTTCCTTTCCCAGGGTTTCTAAGAATTTGGCTCTCTTTTGTGTATTGCGGGGTTTGTTTGCCATCTAGAGGCAGGTTTTTGGCATAGCAACTTATAGGCTTTTTCTACTTGTGATAGCGAAAATAAATACATAAATAAATTCATCATAAATAATAAATGGACTTAATGCATTCAATCTGTAAAAAAATATAAGGTCAGTTTGAGACCTTAAAAGGAGCCTGATGAGGTTAAAAAGACAAATTACCTTTAGTAAAGAGCAGTTGGAGCAATAGATGATTCTTTAATCAATGACATTTTAGGAGTAACTATCAAATGGTAAATAAAACTTGAAATAAGATGATAAACTATAATTTTATATGCAAAAAAAATATTTCCAAGAGCCATACAAATACATTTTCAGATTAAAACAAAAAATGTGGGTTTATCATCATATCCGCTAAATGGAAGATTTCTCAAATGTGTGCTTGGAGCAAAAATAACACTTATCCCTATTTGAAAGTTCAAGATTTTTGAGCTTTCGAAGAAAACAGCTTTCCCTTCACTCTGTTCCACTCACGCTTCTGAGGATGGCCATGGGGCAAAAAGCCACGGGGGCGGGGGGCAAAAAGCCGCGGCGCCTGGGGGGCAAAAAGCCGCCGCGGGCAAATAACCGCGGCACGGGGCGGGGGGCCGTGGGGCGCAAAAAGCCGCCATAGCGGGGGAGCAAAAAGACGCGGCGGCGGGGGGCAAAAAGCCGCGGCGACAAAAAAGCCGCGGCAGCGGGGGTGAAAAAGCCGCGGCGGCGGGGGTGAAAAAGCCGCGGCGGCGGGGGTGAAAAAGCCGCGGCGGCGGGGGTGAAAAAGCCGCGGCGGCGGGGGTGGGCAAAAAGCCGCGGCGGCGGGGGGTAAAAAGCCGCGGCGGGCAGAAAGGCGCGGCGGCGGGGCAAAAAGCCGCGGCGGCGGGCGGCAAAAAGTCGTGGCGGCGGGGGTGCAAAAAGCCGCGGCAGGCAAATAACCGCGGCACCCGGGGCGCCAAAAAGTTGCGGAGGGCAAAAAGCCGGGGCAGGCATAAACCCGAGGCGGCGGGGAGACAAAAAACCGCCGTGGGCAAAAAGCCGCGGCGGCGGGGGGCAAAAAGCCGTGGCAGCGAGGGGCAAAAAGCCGGGTCGGGCAAAAAGCCAGGTCGGGCAAAAAGCCGCGGTGGTGGGGGGCAATAAGCCGCGTCGGCGGTGGGGGGGGGGGGGGGGGCAAAAAGCCGTGGCAGCGAGGGGCAAAAAGCCGTGGCGGGCAAAAAGCTGCGGCAGGTAAAAAGCCGCGGCTTTTGGCGGGGGTGCAAAAAGCCGCGGCTTTTGGCGGGGGTGCAAAAAGCCGCGGCTTTTGGCGGGGGTGCAAAAAGCCGCGGCTTTTGGCGGGGGTGCAAAAAGCCGCGGCTTTTGGCGGGGGTGCAAAAAGCCGCGGCTTTTGGCGGGGGTGCAAAAAGCCGCGGCTTTTGGCGGGGGTGCAAAAAGCCGCGGCTTTTGGCGGGGGTGCAAAAAGCCGCGGCTTTTGGCGGGGGTGCAAAAAGCCGCGGCTTTTGGCGGGGGTGCAAAAAGCCGCGGCGGCGGGGGCACAAAAAGCTGCGGAGGCAAAAAGCCGCGGCGGGCAAAAACCCGAGGCGGCGGGCGGGGGGGCAAAAAACCGCAGTGGGGAAAAAGCCGCGGCGGCAGGGGGCGAAAAGCCGAGGCGCGCAAAAAGCCGCGATGGTGGGGGGGCAAAAAGCCGCGGCGATGGGGGGCAAAACGCCGCGGCAGCGGGGGACAAAAATCCGTGGCGCGGAAAAAGCCGCGGCGGCGGGGGTGCAAAAAGTCGCGACGTGCAAATAACCGCGGCACCGGGGGGGGGGGGGGTGTGCAAAAAGCCGCGGCTGTCAAATAACCGCGGAACCGGGCGGGGGCCGCGGCGGCGGGGGTGAAAAAGCCGTGGCGATGCGGGGGGCAAAAAGCCGCGGCGACAAAAAGCCACGGCGGTGGGGGTGAAAAAGCCGCGGCGGTGGGGGGGGCAAAAAGCCGGGTCGAGCAAAAAGCCGCGGCGGCGGCGGGGGTAAAAAGCTGCGGCCGGGCAGAAAGCCGCGGCGGCGGGGGGCAAAAAGCCGCGGCGGTGGGGGGGACAAAAAGCCACGGCGACGGGGGTGACAAAAAGCCACGGCGACGGGGGTGAAAAAGTCGCGGCGGCGGGGGAGCAAAAAGCCGCGGCGGCGGCGGCGGCGGCGGCGGCGGCGGCGGGGGGTAAAAAGCTGCGGCGGGCAGAAAGCCGCGGCGGCGGTCGGGGCAAAAAGCCGGGTCGAGCAAAAAGCCACGGCGGCGGGGGTGAAAAAGCCGCGGCGGTGGGGGAGCAAAAAGCTGCGGCGGCGGCGGGTGGTAAAAAGCCGCGGCGGGCAGAAAGCCGCGGCGGAGGGGGGAGCAAAAAGCTGGGTCGAGCAAAAAGCCGCGGCGGCGGCGGGGGTAAAAAGCGGCGGGGGGCAGAAAGCCACGGCGGCGGGGGGCAGAAAGCCGCGGCGGTGGGGGGGTAAAAAGCCGGGGTCGAGCAAAAAGCCGCGGCGGGCAGAAAGCCGTGGCGGCGGCGGGGGGGGGCAAAAAGCCGCGGCGACAAAAAGCCACGGCGGCGGGGGTGAAAAAGCCGCGGCAGCGGGGGTGGGCAAAAAGCCAGGTTGGGCAAAAAGCCGCGGCGGCGGCGGGGGGCAAAAAGCCGGGTCGGGCAAAAAGCCGCGGCGGCAAGGAACTAAAAGCCGTGGCGGGCATAAACCCGAGGCGGCGGGTGGGGGCAAAAAACCGCGGTGGGGAAAAAGCCGCGGCTGCGGGGGAAAAGCCGAGGTGGTGGTTGGGGCAAAAGCCGCGGCGGCGAAGAGCAAAAGAGCCGCTGTGATGAGGGTCAAAAAGCCGCGGCGACGCGGGGCAAGATAGTGGAGATGGGGTAGAAGGCCGGCACAGCTTGGCTTTGCTGGAGTGTGATGTGATAGGAAATGTGCAGCCAAAGACAAAAAAAGATGTAAGTAGGCTTGACTCATTGCAGCCAAGAACCCAGATGTTATCTTGAGGGTTTTAACTAATAAGCAGTTTAAATCAGAATGGCACATTCTGATTTGTTTTTTGTATATTCACATTTGGCAGGCATAGATACCGTTCGAAGAGAAAGATGTCAGTAGATAGAGGTAACAAACTTAAATATGTGCCGAGTCTAGAAACAAGAGACTAGGGGGATAAGGACCTTTTGAAATAAAATGCGAGATTTGAAAACTGATTGGGGGATGAGGAAAAGGCAGGTCTTTAAGGTCAGTCCCTGTTTTGCTTTAAGTTGTTAGGGGGTGGTTTTATCACATATTGTAGAATACGTCATTTCAGTTTTGAACATCTTGAGTTAAATCGTCCTAACATAGCTTATGAATTTGATTTTCTTCCCTGGGAAGCTAATATTTCAAACACTGAAAGAGTATATAGATTTCCAACTTGTATCCAATTTATAAAACTATCTCTAGGCTGCTGATTTCAGGAGGAGGCTCATGAATATTCTATTTGCAGAGAATATATCAGGAGTTAACATCAGCGTCAATATTTGTGGACGACCAGTTAACTAAGCCACCTCTTAGTGTATTTAGATGGGAAATCTTAGCTGAAGATATTCAATAATGAACCAACAGTGACTAAAAAATGCAATATTTAAGTATATTTCATTGTAATTAATTTGAATTGAAGTAGCCCTATACAGCTAGTATTTACTACATTGAACAATGCAAATAAGAGGAAAAAATTAATAACCATCTCTAATACCACATGCCAAAATCCTCATCAATTTATTCTAGCTGAAGGAGTTGATCAGAAGCAGCAGTTGAAAGCATCAATTAAACCAGCTGGGGTTAGTTCACTGTCATTCTCTCAGAACCATCTCTTCTCTGAACAAAACAAGTACAAGAGTTCATTGTAAATCTGCATTTTCCTTGCCTATTTTAAGGTTTTGATGTTGACACTAATTTGTGAAATCCCTCCTGTGGTGTGATATTTCGTTTTCCTTGCTTTTTGTTAGGACAAGAATGCTTCAGCTCTTAATTTAAAATTATGTTTCTCCCTCCTAGGTTGAGTGAACTTAGAATGCATTCTCTGACATATCCAAGTTTTTGTTAATATGAATTTGGGGAACAAAGCATACTTAATTAGCTAAGACTTCTTATTCTAGGCTTGACCCTGTGTTCGACATCTATTGAATTTGTAGTTGCATGGGCTGCTCTCTGACACTGGTTACTGACCTGGAAGCTATATTAACGTTAGGGGAGGTGGTGTATGAGCATTAGAGGTATCCTTGCAAGGAAAGACTTGTCTTAACTCAATACGTCTTTTTTTTGCACACAAGAAAGTCAGTGTTTGAGTCTTCTAAAATCTTCCTATTTCCAAGTTGCAGAGTACCATTGATTCCTAAACAAAGACCTAATTTTTGACTCAGAGACGTGGCAAGGTAGTGAATCACCATTATAATTTAACAATCTTCAAGATAAAATTATCTCTCTGATATTTAGATTTTGCCCAATTATTAAGATATTTGGGTGTTTCGTTAAGAATGGAAGACTCTAGTCTCTTGAGCAGAGACTATAAAGGCCTCAGATGATCATTTTTACTTTTATGCTCTTTTCTTTAACACCTTCAACACAGTTGGAAGCAGCCGATATTCCCCAGAGTTGTTGTGTTTTTTAAACCAAATGCATGGTTCAGTGGTAGAAAACTGGGCTGATCCAAGCTGTTTTCAGGAAACACTTCATTTCAGGTGACCTATTTCATATTAAATAATCTCTAGATCCTGTCTTCAAAACTAGATCAGATAACCTACCCTGGATTTTCTCCTTTTAGGGTCTGTGAGCTGCAGTCACTTTTGTGAAAATGATTGCAATGAAAAGATAGAGTTGTAGATGGGGAAAATGTTTTGACTAATTTAAGCATAGTGGTATTTCATATGAGAATTTAAGTTACACGCATTTGAAAATTATAATGGAGTCTCTTGGCTGAGCTTTAAAAAAAAATAGCGTTTAGGCTAAACAGGGAACTGCTACCTCTCCTAAAATCAGAAAGATGTTACAGTAATTCTCCATTCTCTAGAATTATCAGGAAGCACCTTTGTGATGATTTACTTTTGTTCTTGGGAGTGTGAGCCCGTGTAGTCTTGGAACCATCAATTAGAATGATGGCTTTCTGATCCCAAAGTCATTCGTTCTGAAAACAATATTTTTCATAAATTTGAAAGTGAGAAGTTTTGATCTTGCCATTCCCAAGTAACTCTCTTAATAAGAGGCATCAGCATGTTTCAGTGTCACTTTCCAGTGCTGAGAGTCATCTTTGAGTTCTCCATTTGACTCCCTACACTCCAATTTAGCTGCAGTTCTCTTGGCTAGTCCTATGAAATACATCCATGGCCTAATGACTTCTCACCACTACTACCACTCATCCTGACAGCATTCTCACCTAAGTCACTACCTTTTTTCTCTGGATTAGAGTAGCCTCCCAATTTATTTGCTCACAAAACCTATTTATTCTACACGGTGCACAAGATACACCCCTTTGAAATGCAAACACAATCATGTTATTCTCTGGTTAAGTTATCTCATATATTCCTATCGCATTTAAAATTAATTCAGAATAATCCCCTGATTATCAAAACCCTACATGCTCTTCCACAATATGGTTTACTTCCAAGATATCTCTTCAACTTTTTTTTCACTGTACTGAATTGGTGACTAATAATCATATTTTTGTTTTTGCACAAAAAGTCTTGACTTGTAAATTTTTCAGTTTCTCCTTTATCCACAGGTAACTCTTTCCTCATAAGGCGAATTGCTTGTTTCCTTGAGTTCTGCTCTCAAAGATACCCTTCATTTTCTACCTAATATTAATAACTTTAATCATTATTCCATTACTATGCTCTATAGTGCATACAATTTCTGTTCTTTGTCATGTTATTAACTAAATTATTTATTTGTTCCAGTAACGTATTCCATAAATATTGTACACATAAAAATTATGTTATTTTTATTGCTGTATGCTCAGCTGCCCAATAACAGTCTGAGGATTAACATATTTGTTAAATGCACAAATACGTTCTTTCACAAGTATTAGTTTAATAATTTTATATTAAACTCCCTCTATACTTACAGTATGAATTAGATAATTGAGAATAAACATTCCAGTGGAAAAAACTAAACAATTTGTTGTAAAACATCCTTAAAAGCATCAGAAAGTTAATACAGCAATGAAGAATTACAGGACCAAATTAAGAATGGTATGGAAGCCTGTTTGTGAGGCTTATGTTTGGGTTATCTCTTTACTTAGAGAGACTATAAATCTCAAAAGAGGATTAAATGGAGAAATAACCATATCAACTCACATGGTAAGGGTATTCAAACATCTCTTAGTAATGGAGAAAATTGAAAGAAAAGGAAAAAGAGAAAGGGAGAAAGAGAAACAGAGCGAAAGGGATAATGAAGGAGAGAAAGAAGAAGAGAAAGGAAGAGGAAGAAAAGTAAAAAGGAGGAGGAAGAGGGAGGAAGGTGAAAAGAAAGAATGCTAAAGTTTTCAACAACATAATTTATCCTTCTAGAATATGAACGTTGGTCTATTTGATGATGTCCCACAGATTCCTTAGTCTCTGCTCATTTTTTATCTGTTTCTCAGAGTCAATATTTTCCATTTTCTTATCTTCAAGCTCATGACTTCCTCTGTGTGTGCAAATATACTCTTAAATCCCTCTGGTGATTTTTAAATTTTTATCATTGTAGTTTTCCACTCCAGAATTTCTGCTATCTCTGTTGATATTCCTACTTTTTAATATTTTTTCTGAATCCTTTATTTCTTTGTTTATGCTTTCCTTGCGACATTTGAGTATAATTAAGAGAGTTGTTTTAAAGTCTTTGTCTAGTAAGTTTGAAGTCTGGGTTTCCTTAGAGATATTTTCTGTCAGTTTGTTTTGTTCCTTTGAATGAGCCATACTTTCCCGTTCTTTGTATGCCTTGTAACTTTTTTTGAAAACTGGGCATTATAATAATTATAATTACTATGTGGTTACTCTGTAAATCAGACCCTCCCCTACAAACACAGTAATGTTTTGGGGTTTTAAATTTTCTTTACTTATTATATTGTTAAGGATTTTTTTTTTAGTGAAATTTTCCAAAGTGATTTACAAAACTGTTTGCTTTATAAGGTGTGGTCACCGAAGTCTTTTTGTTTCCTTAACAAATGTTAAGCTAATGTTTTGACAGTGATTT
This sequence comes from Homo sapiens, assembly GCF_000001405.40. Classification (NCBI taxonomy): domain Eukaryota; kingdom Metazoa; phylum Chordata; class Mammalia; order Primates; family Hominidae; genus Homo; species Homo sapiens. The sequence goes on from NC_000009.12 coordinate 63,455,537, forward strand.
TCTTGTATGTCAGGAAGTAAGCAAAGAGGCAAATACAACAAAAACAAAAAGAAAAACAAGTAATCATTGTCCAGCAAAATATACTTCTAGGCCATGCAGACTGGCTTTGTGCTGGGTTCTTTAAAGCCGGCACAAAGTGTGTGTTCACTCTTGCACTGAGTGAAGTTCAAGTTCACTCTTGCACAGAGCTTGCACTGAGGGGAGGGATCGGCCAAGGTAAAAGTGTAGGGTCTTCTTATGACATTTGTCAGCATGTGGCTTAACCTATGCATACATGTGACTTTCTAGACTCTCCCATGTACGTGAATAATTTTGAATGTCTTAGTTTTCCAAATACTCTTCTCCAACTTTTCTTCCTGTGCTGAAGGTGATCTACTATATGTGTAAACTCTAATTTTTGCCCTAAGCATCTGTGGTTTGTTAGGTCTCCCTGCAGAGTTCCTTGATAATGTCCATTCCTTATCTGTTCTGTATTCTAGCAACACAGAAAAACAAAAGCCTTTCATGAGTCCTTTAGATATCCCCCAGACCAGTCAGAACAGACACATAGTAATTTGCGGGTAAGATCTTCTCTTGTTCCTTTGGACCATGGACCAGTGTTCCTCACTGGGAACGTGGGCTTCTGACACTTCAAAACTGCCAATTTGCTGGGGCAAAGGCAAGCTAAAAATGTCATAAAGTTTTCAAGTTGTCTTTTTCTTGAGTCTGCTTTCACTCGGTTGTTGTAATCTTTTGACTGTTTTCCAGAGTTTTGGCAAAGTTTATTTGGACAGTTTCTCTTAGTTGTGTGATGTTTCTGTGGGGAAATGAAAGATTGCAGCTGTCTCCACTGCCATTTTGCTGATGCTCCTCTTTTGTCAATTTTTGCTTCATGTTATTATGCTTTGTTATTAGTTCATGTATTAGTTTCCTAGGGCTGCCATAACCAAGTAACACAAACTGGGTGCCATGAACAACATACATTTATAGTCTTATAGTCCTGGAAGCTAAAAGTCTGAGATTGAGGGGTCAGCAGGGATGGTCCCTTCAAGGGCTATGAGAGAAAGCCTGTTCTGTGCCTTGTTTCTCGCTTCTGATGGTTTAGTGGCAGTCTTTGGCATTCCTTGGCTAATCTCTGTCCTCATAATCACATGGTACTCTCCCTGTGTGTATGTCTCCCTCTACTCAAATCTCTTCTTTTAATAAGGACATCAGTCATATTGAATTCAGGCTCATCTGATTGTATCTTAACTTGATCAGCTGCAAAGAACCTATTTCCTAATGAGGTCATATTCAGTGGTTAGAATTTCAGCATCTATATAAAGGAAACAATTTAGCTCATATCTGTGCATACATGATTGTAATAGCTATGTCTTCCTAAAGCGTTGACCCCCGTTTTTCTACAATATAATTTTTAAAATCCTATTCACATTTTTAATAGTCTATGTTGTGTGTTATGAGTATAATGAGTTCAGTGTTCTTATGATTGCTCTTTGCATGATATTTTTTGTCATCTTTTTACTTTCAATCCATTAGTATCCTTGCATCTCAGTGTATATTGGGATCACTTGTTTTAATCCAGTCTGACTATCTCTGCCTCTGGAATGGATTTTAATCTGCTCACATTTAAGATTATAATTGGTATAATTCTATTTATGTCTGCCATTTTACCGTTTGTTTTATATATTTCTCAAATATTTTTCTTTATTGCTTTATTTTGCAATGAAAGAATATTTTCTAAAATAGGGAACTTTAGATTACTAATGAATTATTTTATTATATATTTTTGAGAATTTTTGTTGTTGTTGTAAGTTTACCATATAGGTATATGGAAAATTAATTATTCAAATCATCTTCCAATTTATACTAGTAAACTTCTGGTAATACATAGAAACATCATTCTTATGTAAATCTCTTTTATTTCCTCCATTTTAAAGTATTATCACTTTACACATTACATCTATTAAAGTTACAAAGCCAACAATACATTTTAGTAATTATTACTTTACCATCTAGAGTGATTACCTTATCACAATACATTTTTCTTCCAACTACCTCCTTTTTGATGTTACTGGAAAATATGTTATAGACGTATTACATTTCTACATGTCAAAAACTCAGCAATACATTATACACATATTATTATTATTATCATTGAGACGGAGTCTCCCTCTGTCACCCAGGCTGGAGTGCAGTGGCACAATCTCCGCTCACTGCAAGCTCCATTTCCCGGCTTCATGCCATTTTTCTGCTTCAGCCTCCCGAGTAGCTGGGACTACAGGCGCCCGCCATCACGCCCGGCTCATTTTTTGTATTTTTAGTAGAAACGGGGTTTCACTGTGTTAGCCAGGATGGTCTCGATCTCCTGGCCTTGTAATACGCCCGCCTTGGCCTCCCAAAGTGCTCAGATTACAGGTGTGAGCCATCGTGCCCGGCCATTATACACATGTTATTTAATAAACAATTTATGATAAAGAGAAAAAATGCATTTTTACTGTCTTTTATAATGTCAATGTTACCTATACCAGTACTTTTTTAAAAATGTGGATTCAAGTGACTGTCTTCTGTGACTTGCTTTTAGCCTTAGGAATTTATTTTAGCGTTTTTTTTAATGTGGTAGGTCTGCCAGCAACAACTTCAGTTAATATTTCTGTTTATCTGGGTAAGTCTTTGTGTTATCTTCATTTTTGAAAAATAATTGCTGGATAAGGAATTTGTGGCCGAGAGTTTTTTTTCCTTTGCATCTTTTGAATATATTATTCTACTGCCTCTTGCCTTCCATTGTTTCTCTTAAGTCAGCTGTTAATCTTACAAAACATAGGTGCTCAAAAAATAAACATGTGCATGAATATTTACAGCAGTAATATTCATACAGTCAAAAAGTGGAAACAATCCATACGCTTGTTGACTCATAAATGGACACCCAATTTTCAGCTATAACAAAGAATGAAGTACTTATATATGTTATAATATGGGTGAAATTTGAAAGCATTATGTTACGTGCACAAAAGGACAAATATTACTTGATTTTATTCACATGAAACATCAGGAATTGGCAAATCAATTGGGATATAAATTAGATTAGTGGTCGTTAGGGCTCAGGGAAGCAGAATAGGGTGTAACAACTTTATGCATAATGGGTTTTTGGAAGGGACATGATGAAATTGCCCTGGAACATTGTGAATATACTAAAAGCAAGTGCATTGTATGCTTTAAAATGGTTGTTATTAATTTTATATTATGTGATTTTTACCTTAAAAAAGAAAATAGCCTTACTCTATACATAATAAACTCAAGATATGTTACAAATGTACATGTGAAATCCAAAATATTATAATATTTAAGGAATAGCTAAGTAGAATAACACTGAAATTTAACATAATGAAACATTTCCTTAAAAAAGAAAAAAGCACAGTAATTAAAAAGGGAAATATATTTAATATTTTTTCTCTCCATTAAGCATGCCATTAACTGAGTAACAAATCAAGCTGCAATTATGTAAACTACATTTTCTAAAACCATAAAGAAAAGAAGAAATAAAAAGGTATTTGGGAAAAAAATCCAAAGGTACAGTCAACTACACAAAAAAAGCTTAGTCTCATTAATCATTATGAAAATGCAAATGGTAACTGAAAGAAGATAAAACTACAATTCAAAGAGAAAGCCTAACATTTCAACCCCCCAAAAAGTCTGGGTTTTGGAGATCTGGGATGGAATAGGGTTCCTAACCTGACAACAATGAAAGAACCAAACTAACTTCAAAGTCATGACTTTATTTTTAGAGCAACCAGGTTGCCAAGAACTGAGTCAAAATGTGAGGGAAAACAAGCACCTGCAAGGAGAAAGAGGACAGATGCACTTACGTAGGACAGATGCAAATAGACACCACTATGACAAGTAAAGCTGGAATAATCAATAAATTCCTAAAGACAAAGTGGGGCTGGTGAGATTGGGAGACCGCTGACAGTTGCAGAAGTTGGGAAAGATCCATCATCTTGAAAACTTTTTCCCCACAAACCCACTGTGATCTCTCAAGCAATTGGTAAGGAATCCAAGAGAGTCTGTATATGACACAGATCAGGGAGAGCAGAACACTTGGGAGGTGACCAGGTCTTGGGGGCCGAGCCCTTATGAATGGGATTAGTGCCTTTATAAAAGAAGCTCAATGGAGTTCTTGTGTGACTTCCACTGTGTGAGGACATAGAAAGAAGGCACCATCTATGATCCATGAAATGGGCTCTCATCAACACTGAATTTGTGAGCATCTTGACCTGAGATCTTACAGCCTCAAGAAGTGTGAAAAAAGAAATATCTGTTGTTTTTGAGTCACCCAGTTTATGTTATTTTGTTATAAGGGTCCAAATAGACCAAGATATTCCACTTAATATGTAGGGGAAGGCAACAAAAACTGCCACACTTAGAATACTCCTGATGCTGGGAGTATGAAAACAGGAAAAACAAAACAAAACTGCTCTTAAAGGTGAAGGAGGAATATCACTGAGCTCACCAACACAGCCAGGAAAAGAACAGAAGTGTGAGAAGGCTACATTCCTGAGACCCTGAGAAAATGTACCTGCATAAGACTGAGATGAAATTGCCTACTCTAGTTATGATTGAAATCCCAAAAAGAAAAGAGGAAAAAATAATGGAGCAAAAGAAATATATTTCAAAATAACTGCCAAAAATATTCTAAAAGAAGTGACAGAAAATCAAACTTCAGATATAGGAAACTCAGAGAATGTCAAATAGAACAAAAAGAAATAAGAATTCCGTCTTGAAAAATCTTTAAAAAATCAAGTCTAAATTTTATATCTTGCTCCAAATATATAGAGATATAAATAGGTTATCATCAAGATATGGAGAAAGCCATATCATGGAAACACTAAAATAAGGCTGTGGAAGGACTACATTGATATTAGACACAACAGAGTTCGGAACAAGAAATAGTATCAGAGATGAGAGATAATAGATAATAGAATAATCAATTCTCAAGAAGATGTAAACATCCTACTAATTAGGGTATGCAGCTAACAACAGAGCCTCCAAATACATGAGGTAAAACATGAAAGAAATCAAAGGTGAACTAGAAAAATCCAAAATTATATTTGCAGACTTCAACACTTTTGTCTTAGTAATGGAAAGACTAGGCACAAACTCAGTAATCATGTGGAAGATAAGAACAACAATATCACCAACAAGACATCCAATCTTCAATGGCAGCTACTCTTTCCTTTCAAGTGAAAAAAAAACAGTATGGCATATTCTCTAACAAACACAGAATTTCTAATGTTTGCGGTCTTCCTTCTTTCCATCTTCCTTTGTCTTCTCTTCCCTTCCCTTGCCTTCTTCCTTCCTTTCTTCTTTTCCTCTTCCTTTTCTTTTCTTTTTTCTTTTCCTTTCTTTCTTTTTTCTCCTTCCTTCTTTCCTTCTTTCTTTCTTTCCTCTTATTCTTCCTTCCCTCCTCCCTCCCTTCCTTTCTCCCTCCCTTTTCTTCCTTCTTTTCTCGTATTCTTTCTTTCTTTCTCACGTTGTTGCTTTCTTTCCTTTTTTCTCCCTTCCTCCCGCCCTCCTTTTCTTCCTTCCTCCCTCCCTTCCTTTCCTCTTTTTCCTTCCTTCCTTCGCCTCTTTATTTTCTTTGTTTCTTTGCCTTCCTCCCTTTTACCATTCTCTCTTCCTCCTTTTCTTCCTCCCTTCCTCCTTTCTTTCTTTCTCTCTTTCTCTCTTTCTTTCTCTTTCTTTCTTTTCTTTCCTTCCTTCTTTCTTGTGTTCATGTTTTCTTTTTTCTCCCTTCCTGCCTTTCTCCCTTCCTCCCTCCCTCCCTTCCTTCCCTCATTTCCTCCTCCTTTTCTTTCTTCTTTCTTTATTTCCTTCCTTCTTTTTCTTTGTTTTCTTTTCTTTCTCTTTACTACAATTCATATTATTTTTAAAAAATTAAGAGAGGGAGACAGAAAAATAAAGAACGCTTTAATCTGCAGGTAAATAGATTATGTCTGCTGCAGGCAAAAGAATGGCCTCCCCAAAATTTTCATGTCCTAATTCCCAGAGTCTAACATACAAATATGTTAGGTTGCACGGCAGTGTGAAGTTAGATTTCAAGTGAAATTAAGGTTGCGGAAAAATGATAGAGAGATTGTCTTAAATGGGTGGGATCAATGAAATCACAAACTTCCTTATAAGTGAAAGAAGAAGACAGAAGAAATGCAACCTTGGAGGTGGTGGCATGAGAAATTACTCAACATCACTGACTTTTAAGATACAAGAATGAGGACCCAGCGCGGTGGCTCACGCCTAATCCCAGCACTTTGGGAGGCTGGGGTGGGTGGACCACGAGGTCAGGAGATCGAGACCATCCTGCGTAACATGGTGAAACCCCATCCCTACTAAAAATACAAAAAATTAACTGGGCATGGTGGCAAGTGCCTGTAGTCCAAGCTACTCATGAAGCTGAGGCAGAAGAATCACTTGAACCCGGGAGGCAGAGGTTGCAGTGAGCTGAGATCATGCCACCGCACTCCAGCCTGGGTGACAGAAGGAGACTCTATCTCAAAAAAAAAAAAAAGAAAAATAGGATATAAGAATGAGGTCATGTTCCAAGGAATAAAGGTGGCCTCTGGATGCTGAAAAAAATCAAGTAATAGAGTCTGCCACATAGCCCTCAGAAAGACTGCAGCCCTGCCCAAAACTTGATGTTAGCCCTGTGAATTTCATTCAAGTCTTCTGAACTACAGAACTGTAGGATTAACGGTCACTTTATTGTAAGATATGAAGTTTGTGGTAATTGGTTACAGCAGCAAGAGGAAGTTTATATTATAATTGTATCATGAAAATGAGAACCATAATTTACAACTGCTTTTAATACTGCACTTGGATGTTTGAAATCACATACGTGGAAATGATTTCTGTGTGCATGAGGGAGGATAGCAAATTGATGCCAAAATAATGCAAATGCAAATCTTACACACATTTCTATGTAGGTTTCATTTAATCTTTGAAATTAAAATGAAATTAAAAGATTGTGATATTTTGATGAAATTAGACTAAAATGAACAATAACAAAATCAGAACTCACTTATATTCTTTATATGGTCAATAAAGAAGTGATAGTGGAAAAAAACAAGATCAAATGAAGGTGATGATTTAGGAAGTTGGAAAGATAGCTGAAACTACAAAATGGTCTATAACCAGTGAACACTTAGACACACTGATTGATGAACTTCAGCTTTAGCTTGGTGAGAGCATAAAATGAGAGCAGCTGAGGTTTGCAAATTTGTAATCTCCTTGTGGAAAAACAGGGGAAAACACATCTCAGCCTAATAAGATTTATCTACTAAGGAGTCTAGACTTGGTCCATTTGTCCTTGTAATTCAAAAGCTAATTCAAATACTGATTTGATGTATTGTGTGAACAACCATTGCTGATTATCATCGCATATCTGGCATTCTCTTTTATCTGATATCTAAAATATTTGGTAATTCCTGGAATTTCTCTTTTCAAACCTAGTACAGTTTAATTTGAGTCTTAGAACAGTTGTCTTTGAGAAATTCTTCCCTCTACTGCATCTGTGAATGGGCATAGCATGGTTACATACATACTGTCACTCCATAGAACATTTGTTAAATTAAAGCCAAAGTTTAAAGCAACAGCTTTAACTCACTGGTTTTACTAATGTTTTCCTCCCCAATAGCCACAACAATATTGATACCCTCACACCTTTTAACATAAAGCTTGGTGTTGTCTATTTTTCAGGTGTTGTCATGTATATGATCTCAGTATTTTAAAAATCAGCTTCCGGCCCATATGGTGGTTCATGCTTGTAATACCAGCAGTTGAAGAGGCTGAAATGAGAGGATTCCTTGAGCCCAGGAGTTCAAAAGCAACCTGGGCAACATAGCAAGACCCAGTCTCTATCAAAAGTTAAAAAAATAAAAAGTGGGCATGGTGGTGTGCACCTGTTGTCCTAGCTATTTGGGAGGCCAAGGTGGAAGGATTGCTTGAGCTTGGGAGGTTGAGGCTGCAGTGAGCAGTGATTGCACCACTGCACTCCAGCCTGGGCAAAAAACCAAGACCCTATCTCAAAAAATATATATAATAAAAATAAAAATCAGCTCTCATTGATTTCTGTGTAAATATGTACAGGTGATGTCCATATAGACATAAATAATAATATTTCTGACAATGGTTCCATATGATCTTCAACATGTAAAATGCTTATCTGTGTAATTGACTGGTTAGTCTCATTAATGAATATAGATTCAATTCTACTTTCTTGTTCTAGATAAATTATATAATCTAGCTTTTCATTTCACTTATTTACTGATAACAAGAGGAAGAATGACAAGATATCTATTTTGGAAAATTACTCTGGTAGGAGTAAAGATGAAACAATGATAGAATTGCACAGAAAACTAGAAAAAAGTATGGTCTTCTGATATTCTATCACATCACATACTAAAGGCCTCATAAAACTCAGATATTTTATCTAAAAATGTTATTTTCATCATAGGAATGATCAAAGCATGAGACTACAGTTGTATTAAAATGTGCTTGTATCACAAGCACTGGTGCTAAAAAGGAGGGGAAAACATCATTACTGATATTTTCAATGTATGTTTTACTTTTCATCAACATGAACCTCAACTTGATATGATGCAAATTGAAGGAAATCACCCATAATTCCATATGAAAAAGGCCTGTGATATTTTATGGGAAAATAAACAGAGAAAATGCTAACAGAAACCCTATTAAGCATGAAGCTTTATGGAGCAAACACAAATCCAGTGGTGAAAGATACACACTCGAGTTCTCTTTGTTGTCTTGGAACAATACGGTTTAGAGGTGACTGGCGGGTGAGGAGAACATATGCGAGTTCACCAAAGAGAAAAGCTGAATGAGGCAATGCCTCTTCCTGACCATATCTCTTACTCTGATAACTATATAATTTATTGTCCAGTAAAGGGAATATTAAAAAATCATATTAAAAGTTATGCAGTGAAGTTGTCCAGGGAAATCAAGACTTAACAGTCTCACTCTGACAATAATGAACAGGGGGATTCCCTCAAGATAGACTAGGACATGACCCCACACTGGCAGATAGTAGTACCAGAAAAGAACCCATGGAAAATCTTTACCTTATGCTTGAGGTAGGGACCAGGCTAAAGTGAAAGCCAGACATAAAATTCTATCTAAAATAAATCCACAATCGAAGAAAATATGTGGTGTACAGGCATAGAATGTCTTTACTGGATCATTGAAATAGTAAGATAAATTCAACTTTTTACATTGTTTTCTTTTCCTCCAGTTAGGGCTTGAGGTTTGTCTCTGGAGAGTGACTGTGAATTGGAGCCCTGCCTTTCTGGGGTTCTGGTCAGGGGGTTGTGGATGCTTAACATGTGCCTTTCACAGGACACTTCCTTACACCAGCAGTGGCCAGATGTGCATCCCACGACCAGGCCTCCCTCTCACAGAACATCTGTTGAGACTAGGAGATGCCTGGTGACTGTTGCCTGACCTGTGTCCTGTGTATTTCTGACAAGAGCCACTCTCAGAGACCCTGGCCAGGAGGAGAGTTAGGTTCCAGTGTAGGTCAGCTCAGACCCATGGAGGCCACAGAACCAAACATGGGAAATCACAGAAGTAGGTTTATTACTCACAGATCCAGAGAGAAGAGGGTAGCTGAGAAGAGGGTTTAGCTGTGTCCCCAGCCAAATCTCATCTTGAATTCCCACATGTTGTGGGAGGGAACAGGTGGGAGGTAATTGAATCATGGGGGCAGGTCTTTCCCATGCTGTTCTTCTGATAGTGAATAAGTCTCACAAGATCTGATGGTTTTATAAAGGGGAGTTTCCCTGCACAAGCTCTCTTGTCTTGTCTGCTGCCATGTGAGACTTGCCTTTCACCTTGCACCATGATTGTGAGGCCTACCCAGCCATGTGGAACTGTGCGTCTATTAAAACTCTTTCTTCTGGAAATTACACAGTCTTGGGCATGTCTTTACCAGCAGTGTGAAAACGGACTAATACAGTAGCACACCTCATAGGGCTGAACAAAATGGGGAAGATGAGTGGGGAGCAGGAGAGAGAAAAGGGGTCTGTGGGACTCCAGCCTTTATTCGGCCCAGAACATTACCCAAATAAGTTTTCCACGGGGCACTAGTCTGTGGGGTGAGTGCCAGCAGGCACATTTCTTGACTCCCGCTGCAACCGAGCAGGTCACTCTGGCGTGTGGGGTCTGTCCATGTGCGCTGTGAGGTCTGTGGGGTGAGTCAGGTAGGTTGTATCCAACGGTTCCATAGCTGGTAGTCACCAGGAGGAGGCAACTGTGTAGGGTCAATATCTAGGCCAGCCACACTGAGGAACTGTGAGGGTTAGAACTGGAAATTGTCAAGGGAATCTGAACCCAGCTACCATATGAGAGAGTTCAACTTATGTTCAATGTGAATGCCATGGCAATATTAAAAGGTAAGAATTCGCTCCATACGTGCTTGAGGTAAATAGGAGAAACCTAGAATTTATGTAAACAGTGAGAAGATTGGATGCGTTTTCCGTCACATATTTTAATACTAGCAACATATTATATATGTCAATCCATCAGGCATTCAGAAATACATGCTTATGAAAATTTTTTGCACCATCAGACAAAAGACAAGGGTAGAAGACATTTGTAACCCTATAAACACTAGTAAATTAAAAACAGAAGAACCTTTATGTCCTAACATATCTGTGTTGTGAAAGGCTGCCCTGTGAAATGCGGGATATCTTAAACATATTTTAAAAATCATAGGTGTCAATATTTTTTAGAAATCCATTTAAATTTTCTCTTGCTATTTTACAATGCCTATTTATTTATTTAGTGGCTCTGCTGATTTTGATGTATATCCTAAACTTTACATTTTCTTTAAAGGATATTTTATACAACTTTATGTAAAAGTTTCAGTATCTTCACATTCTCTCCCTGTCCTTTTGTTTTGCTCTTATATGGTGGTCTTGAGTCTTTTCTCTGGCTTTTCAAACCTAGTAAGACTAAGAAACTAAAGTAACTTTGTCCGTGGTTTGGTAATGCCTTCCAAAGCACATCCTAAGCTCTCGTGCATACAGGGGTCTCCTTTGAGCTCTGTGCTTTTGAGATCCCATATACCTAAATTCCAGTACTCCAAATCAGTACTGCTCAGTTTTAGTTACTAAGTTTAAAAATGTATTTCAATAGCAAGTTACTTTAGTGCACTCTTGCTTCTTTCTTGACTGCTTGTATACATGTATATTCCTTTAAATGAATCTTGGAATTTATTTAAAAATTTTAAATTATACTAATGAAACTGTATATTGTTGTGAATTCATAAGTGAATTTGGAAATAATTTGTCTTTATGATACTAAATCCTTTTTATCCAAGAATAATATGTGTCTTTATATTTATTCCAGTCTATATTTATATCACTGAGTAAATATATAGAAATGTAGATACATACAGCTGTAGTTATAGATACAAATATAGATATAACATGTTAAATCTATATCTATCCCATATAACATATATACATGCTATATATGTGTGTGTGTATATATATATGTTTATGTTATTAAAGAGCTCCCTTAAAATTTTTCTTTTATTTCCTATATAATTTTAGGTCGAGCTTGAATTTTCCTTGTATAAACAAGCAAATATTTATACTAGTTTTAATACTGATGTTTAGACATTGTATCTTATTTTAGCATTGAATATTTTCACAATTATCATAAATATTATCTAATATTAATAATGTACCTGTTAAAAATATTTAAAATTTTACCTTTGAATTATTTTATTGTTGAATTAAAATTCCTTTAATATGACAGTAAATTTCTATTTTATGCTTTCTCTATGCGTATGCAAATTAATCTATCCACTTCTCTATCTCTATGTAGTAACATATGAAAATCAGGCCTCTCTTCTTCTAATGGACATACACATGTTTGCATATAGAATATCAGACTCTTTACAGCATTTAAAATCTTTACAGACATGAATATTGCCTTTTAACAAATATATTTTAGCATGTACTGAGAATCCCCTATTTATTTTTAATTTGGGCTAATCAATATTATTATTAATATTATTGGATTACCAAATTTGGAAACACACTTTCATCCCCAAGGTGGATATTTGTTTTATTTTTTTTGCCAATTTCTTGTCTTACTGTTTCAAACATTGTTGGATATTATTTTTATTTTATTTGGCATTTTAGTATCAACATTTGTAATTGATGTACTCTACATATTTTTTCTTCAATATCTGGTGGGTTTTATAATTACTGCTACATTGGATTTGTAGTAGACATTGACAAAAATTATTCCTGTATGTTTTATAGCTGTATGAAGGAAACTAATATATTTTACCCCTAAATATATTTCCTTGATATATTTCAAAATGGCTATTGAGAAGGGCTGGGAATGCAAACTTAGCTGCAAAGCTGTCTTGGGGAGATTTGCATTGGTAGAGAATCTGCCTTGATGCAGCCAGGCTTTCTCTGAGGTCTGCCCCCTTGTCTGGATCTAGGAAAGGTTAACTGAGCATCTGAGGTCTCCAAAGGTCTGAAAGAAACATTTTCTGTCTATTCTCTCTGAGGACTGCTCCCAGTGAGGTTTCACCTATGTAATAAGTCCACTGTTGCTAGCCAGGGTCGTTTTCTCACATAACCTTTTTTTTTTCCTGTGATCCAAGACCCCATTCTTTCTGTAAACTTCATGTGGTAGATAAGCTTCTGCACGCATCGTGTGTCTGGGTCTTCGTTCTAAGGGCTCCAGTGTACACACATTGCAGAAACCTGTATGCCTTTTCTACTATTTATCTGCCTCCTATTAGTGATTTTCAGGGAAACTTCAGAAGGCAAAAGGGACATTCTCCTTTAGCCCATTCTCAGACAAAATCCCAAAACATTTAACTGATTCCTAATAGCTTAAAATCACTCTGACAAATCCATATATTTATAACCTTTTCTTCCCTCTATGATTTCTGTTCAGCTTGGGTTTTGTTTTTCATTCCATTTACTTCATCCTCGAAAAGATCTCTTTTACGTCTATTTATTCTCATTTATGGACATTGAGAAAAGAAAATAACTTTCATGTGAGAAATGCAAGTCCTTTTAAATAATCAGGCCCAGAGAGATATTCAAATGAGACAGCAGTTCTGTCCTGCTCCTCTTTGAGCTGTGTGTTCATCTAGGCTGCTTGCTGTTGCCACAGTAGCTATTAATTAACCAATAACGCCACACCAGATAGTATAATCCACACCCAATAATAGTGTAACAGTGTATAGCCAGTCACTAATAAATGCTATTTCCATAAGCCAATGAGAATTTGTGACAAACCTATTTGCATCATCCCACTTCTGGACCCTTTTTTGCCTTTAAGAAACTGCTTGTTGCAAAGCTCCAAAGGGAGTTCATATCCAAGGATACTTGGGTCTGTTTCTTCCAGGCAGCTGTCCTCATTTTGGCTCAAGTAAACTCTTTGAATTACATTTTGTGCTTCAGCCCCTTCCACTTAGATTAACAACATGGATTTGTGTCACCATGTACGGCAATTAAAATGTTCACACTTTTCCCCCCAAGGGCACTGATGTGTTTTCCTGAGCACTTGGAATAGCTACGTAGTGTTTACTGTCTAGATTATGGTTTCTCAACCTTGGTGCTACTTACCTTTAGGACCAGAGGATTCTTTGCTGTGGGAGGCTGCCCTAGCAATGCTAGGTGTTTCGTTTGACCTCTAAATTTCACACCTCCACCAGTCTTGACATCCCCACAATAACACTAGACATTGACAAATGTCTCCTGGGGAAAACTCTCCACCAGTTGACAGGGAAAGTTCTGGAAATATTGGAATTGTCAATTGAGATTTTATGTTATCCAAAACAAGTATTTTTCTTTGTTTTCAAACATCTACTTCCATCTACTTATCTATTTATTTTTTACTTTTATTTGTAACTTAATTCCATCAAGGAGAGAGAGTTCATTTTCTGTTATGCTAAATTTTTGAAGAATGTATTGATTTTTTTATGACATGATATATGGATGATATGTAGATATTACATGTTTGTATTATCAAATTTCAGGGCGATAATAAAATAAATACTTATAATATTTATATTGTCACTGTATATTAGTTATTTTCTTCCTTCACTACAGGAGTTTTTCAACCTATAGGCTATTTTTCAATTCTAGGTTATCCAATAGATTTTGAAACGTTATGATTAAATATCTACTTCTCAAGCATTCATCTTTGCAAATGAAACAATCCCAAGCTCTTATAATGCACATCATATAAAGGGCAGATTAGTCAATATATGGTTCAGAAATAATTATGTAATATTTATAAGAATATTAAAAATTTACATCCTTAACTCAGATAACAATAATCCAAATTAAAATTTGATTTCATTACATAATTTAAAATGACACCAGAATACTAGTAAAAATGTAGATAAGTTTATATAATCTTTTTTAGCTGTAGGACTTTATTAGCATAAATTCAAATACAGGAACCAAAGTAAGATTGAGACCTATAGTCAAAGGTTAAAATGTACACATTATAGGGTCATGATTAAACTAATTTAAAGCATGATAACATGGAGAAATATTGCAAAACATACATTTTACTGAATTAATTGTTAATATCTAATCATTATGTGAGAACAAAATTAAAGAGTAGCTACACACGCACACACCCACACACAAGTGCAATATTGTCAAATAAACGATGTTCAGCTACACTAGAAATCACACCTGTGTTTCCTCCACAAAAAAGATTAAAAATCACAATAATATTTATTGTACATATGGAGGTAAAGATACTGAAAATATTACCCTAAAATACATTGTTTTTTGAGATGGAGTTTTGCTTTTATTGCCCAGGCTAGAGTGCAATGGCACAATCTTGGCTCACTGCAACCTCAGCCTCCCAGGGTCAAGTTATTCTCCTAGCTCAGCCTCCCAAGTAGCTGAGATTACAGGCATGCACCACCACACTCGGCTAATTTTTTGTATTTAGTAGAGACGGGGTTTCACCACGTTGGTCAGGCTGGTCTCCAACTCCTGACTTCAGGTGATCTACCCACTTCAGCCTCCCAAAGTGCTGGGATTACAGGCGTGCGCCTGGGCAGCTTTTTGACATATTTCAAGATGGCTACTCGGAAGACTGGAGATAGCTTCTTCTACAAGAATAGCTGAAAAGCTGTGTTTGTTGGGGAGATTTGCATTTGTAGAGAATATCTGCATTGATATAGACAGTCTTTTCCTGAGATACTCCCTTGTGTGGGTTTAGGAAAGATTAACTGAGCCTGGCACGTTTACATTTCTAAAAACCATTTCCTATCTATACTTCCCAAGAGGAGGGCTGCTCCCTGTGAGGTTTCATCCATGGAACAAGACCACCTCTGCTACCAGGCTCCTCTTTCTTCCTTGTCATCACCTGTCTTCCGCAAAGCCTGATTTACCAACCTACAGCTCTGTGTTTTCTGTAACCTCAAGATGGCATAGGCGTGTTGACTACCTTGCCTTTCCTGGAGTTTTTATATATATAGTATATATTTGTATATCTATTTATAATATACAAATATGTGTATAGATATATTCATATATATTATGTAAACTCCAAGTGCATACTTGTGCACATATCTGTAAACCTTTTTTTCCTGTTAATTTGTACATTTTTGGTTTGTTTTATAGACTCAAATAATTAAAGCTTCAAGGGAAAAATTTAAACTTTCCTATAGAGAAAAGACATATATATATGTGAAAAATAATATTTAGAGTGTAAGACGCTTTTTAAAGGTATATTTGCAATTTGTGTCAAAACATTTAAATATACATTTGTTACTTTAACTGTAAAATTTCAAATAATTTAAGCTAAATACATAGTATATGCAGAAAATTTAGCAATATTTGTATGTAGCACCTTACTGTGCATTACTGTAACCAGCTGTCTAGTATAAAGAACTAATTAAGGTAGCACCTACTTTTCAAATATCGCATTTTTTCACAGACCTATTAAATAAGACAAATAACATTTAAACTTTATTTTTAAATTTGCAGAATAGTATTTTTCCAGCAGATGGTTTATTTTAGCAAATTCCATCTTCACATTGTGCTATGCTTTTATGAGTTCCAGCTGTTAACAGATAATATTTTACTGCTGAATCTATCATGTGTGATATAATTGCTCATTATGTACCTTAAAACACAAGCAATATAGTTATTTTCAACTTGGAGCAAATTAAAATCTTATCAGCAATTTAAAAACTCTAGAGTCGTCTTCTTCTGGTTAATTATTTTAAACTTGTATTTTTCTCTTTATGTTTTTAGTAAGTTGTCTTATCAAGGAGAAGAACTCAAGCTGATTATTCTTTTTTTTCTCTTCCATCCACCTCGCTGGTGTGTGAATAATTTCATTTCTCAGAAAGTGTTCTTTCATATCCATCTTACAAGATGAGAGACCTTTTAACATCTTCCATTCATATATGATACAAGTAATGGAAAATATTCCAGCTTCATGAATATGGTGATACAAATAGTTATCCGTCTAACCTCTGTCAGTGCCAAATGTTTACTCAGTGAATTACTCAGCTGACTGGTAATTTCTTCTGAAATCACTAATGAGAGGATCAGAGGTCTGGCTGTTGTCTGTACCTCGTACGACTCCCAGTGCAGACAATTGTTTCTATGGAGCACAGACAGTTGAATGGATTGACTTCCTGCCTAGAATAGCTTCTGCTGTGCTTCTTATCCTTCTTGTGGAGATTTCAGATTGTCTGAATTGCTTTTCTATCTTAAGAAAAAACTCAACAATTTTCCCACCTGAGAGGAATGTATACTGTAGTAAGTTAGAAGAAGCAATCCGTAAAGTTTTTACATTGTTTGTTGTAAAATGCAGCGTTGGTGTCTCCATCACTAACCTTTTCTATCCCTCATTGCTCTTTCTTTGACTGCAATAGGATACCTCTAGGCAAATCTGTATTCCCGAAACAGAGTGCCCTTTCCGTTAGCTATAAGTACACTCAATGGTAGGCTGAAATACTAGTTTTTATCTATGGCGAAATGGAATCATATCAGTGATTTTCTTTAAAAGGAAATTTAACTCTTGCTATGGTTTGAATGATTGCCCCTTCCAAATCTCACGTTAAAATTTGATCCCCAATGTTGGAAGTGGGGCTTACTGGGAGGTGTTGTGTCATGGGGATGGACTTTCATGAATGGATAATACCCTCCCTTAGGAATCTCAAGCTATCCTCCCTCCTCGGTGCCCTCAGGAATGAGTGTACCATTCTTTATTCAACTATAATTCCCCCACCCATCCTTTTTGAGATATTAATTACATGTATGTTACACTGCTGCATATTGTCTCACGTATCAGTGAGTTTCTGGCTTTCTTATTTTAGTTTACCCTTTGTCCTTTAGTTTGGAAAGCTTCTATTTTTTTCTATAAATTTTCTGATGTTAGGGTAAAATCCATAACTTATTCTATCTCATGGAATTTTTATTTCAAATGTTTATTTTTCATCTATACATGTCACATTTTTCATTTTATAACTTCTATTTTTCTCCTATGATCAATTTTCATTTAAGTACTTTGACATATATATGTATTTATCTATATGTATTTATAAAATATATTTACTTTAAGGGCCTTGAAAATTCCTTCTTCTCTGTCATTTATAAACGACTTATTTTTATACTGTTAATATATATCTTAATAATATATATCTTCCGGCTTCTTTGCATGTCAGAGTTTTTTTTGGGGGGGGGTATTTTGATGTTATGCTATTGAATATCTAGATTTTATTGGCTACCTTTGAACAATGTTGTGGCAGGCAGTTCAGTAACTTCAGGATGAGTATTTTTCTGTTGTTGTTTTAAATCTTCTCTTTAAACTTTGTGGAGTTAGTCTAGAGCCATCTGTAATTTGGAGCTAAATGAGCACTGTCACTGGGGCATGAACCTCCAGTGGTCTTTACTGAATATCCTGGAGGTACAGAGGGGATTCCCATCTCTGGCTGGTCAGAGCTAACATGTCTTCCTTTCATGTGATGCCAGGGAAGTGTTCTTCCAACTCCGTGGTAGAGTCTTTTGCTGAGCTCCTTAGAATTTCATCCTATGTACCTTTGACTTAGGGACTTGGGAGAAACCTTAGGCTGATTATTGGTTCCTTTTTCTGTAAACGTTCTCTTCTACTACACATTCCAGCTGCTTAACCTTTTTTGATTTTTATCTGGTTCCTCAGTGCAATGACAATGTCTGCTGTCTCTGGGATTCCTCTCTACTGCTGTCACGGAGAACCTGGGAATAAAGCAGGACTCATTCTGGCTCCTTCTCTTCTCTTGCGGAGCACAGTACTGTGCTGCCTGATGTTCAGTACTTCAAAAAAAGTTTCATATATTTTGTCCAGTTTACTATTCTTTAACTCTAAAAGAGTACCTCCAGTCCCATTTACAGCATCATGTTCTGTAACTCTACTCCTTGTTGCTTCATTCTGCCATTGTCTGGTATGATCGCCCCTTTCCCTTCTGTAATCAGGCCAAGAGCATAATATAATACTAGTTAGTTATAACTGCACAGCTTGCTTCCGTTGTGTAAAAAAATCACTGAGACTTAACTGTGTCCAACTTTTAAAATGTGAATATAAGTACAACTAAAGCTATATTTTGGTTAATATTTGCATTGCATGCTTTTCCATTATTTAGTTTCAACATATGTGAAATATAAATATAAATTATAAAAACTTTAAGAGAGTCCATTGAAAAATCTGGTCTGAGTATGTTTTAACTGGTTTATTATAACGTGCATTCTCGAATTCAGGGTCTAATATAATTGGTACGTTTATCTATTTGCAAAAAAACTTGACAATATTTTTAAATTAATTTATCCAACTCACAACTTATATGCTTCTGCTGTTGTATGGAAGATACATTTTAAACTTTATGAGATAGCATTCTGTTATACCGTCGATATCCAATTAAATTTCTCTCTGTGTTTACTTCTTTCATTAAAAAAAAAGCGTTCTTCTAACTGCAAACTTTCATCAGGGATCATGGCTCTTCTACCTGAAGAATAATCTTTACAATTTCCTTTCCTGTGGGTCTGCTTGGGAGAAATTCTTTATTGTATCTTTGTTTTTGATGGATATGTCCACCAAATAGACAGTTCTAGGTCGGCACTTATTTTATTTCAGGACTTGAAAGGTATCAATACCTCACTTGTTGGCTTTCATTGTTTCATTTGACACGGTTGTTATCAGTCAACTCTTTCTGTTTATAGTTAGCCCAATTTTTTTATCAAGTGCTCTTGACATTTTTCTTTTACTTTTCAGAAATTGTCCCATTATGTTTCTAGGTGTGTCCTCTGTGTGTGTTTTCTTTTGGTTTGCAAAGCCTCCTGAACCTGTGGTTTAATATTATTGGTCAATTTTGATAAAACCTCTAACATTGCCACTTAAAATGCTGTTCAGACCAGCTGTTTTCTCCTTCTTAGATTTCAACGTGTTAGATTATTACTGTATGCTTTATATTTTTTAAATGACCTTTCTCTACTTTTTTTTAGTTGGTTAATCTGTATTAGTGTATATTTTGCTTTTTTATTTTATTTTATTTTATTATTATACTTAAAGTTTTAGGATACATGTGCACAATGTGCAGGTTTGTAACGTAAGTATTCATGTGCCATGTTGGTGTGCTGCACCCATTAACTCGTCATTTAGCATTAGGAATATCTCCTAATGTTATCCCTCCCCCTCCCCCCACCACACAACAGTCCCCGAAGTGTGATGTTCCCCTTCCTGTGTCCATGTGTTCTCATTGTTCAATTCCCAACTATGAGTGAGAATATGCGGTGTTTGCTTTTTTGTCCTTGTGATAGTTTACTGAGAATGATGATTTCCAGTTTCATCCATGTCCCTACAAAGGGCATGAACTCATCATTTTTTATGGCTGCATAGTATTCCATGGTGTATATGTGCCACATTTTCTTAATCCAGTCTATCGTTGTTGGACATTTGGGTTGGTTCCAAGTCTTTGCTATTGTGAATACTGCCGCAATAAACATACTTGTGCATGTGTCTTTATAGCAGCATGATTTATAGTCTTTTGGGTATATACCCAGTAATGGGATGGCTGGGTCAAATGGTATTTCTAGTTCTAGATCCCTGAGGAATCGCCACACTGACTTCCACAATGGTTGAACTAGTTTACAGTCCCACCAACAGTGTAAAAGTGTTCCTGTTTCTCCACATCCTCTCCTGCACCTGTTGTTTCCTGACTTTTTAATGATCGCCTTTCTAACTGGTGTGAGATGGTATCCCATTGCGGTTTTGATTTGCATTTCTCTGATGGCCAGTGATGATGAGTATTTTTTCATGTGTTTTTTGGCTGCATAAATGTCTTCTTTTGAGAAGTGTCTGTTCCTGTCTTTCGCCCACTTTTTCATGGGATTGTTTGTTTTTTTCTTGTAAATTTGTTTGAGTTCATTGTAGATTCTGGATATTAGCCCTTTGTCAGATGAGTAGGTTGCAAAAATTTTCTCCCATTTTGTAGGTTGCCTGTTCACTCTGGTGGTAGTTTCTTTTGCTGTGCAGAAGCTCTTTAGTTTAATTAGATCCCATTTGTCAATTTTGGCTTTTGTTGCCATTGCTTTTGGTGTTTTAGACATGAAGTACTTTCCCATGCCTATGTCCTGAGTAGTATTGCCTAGGTTTTCTTCTAGGGTTTTTATGGTTTTAGGTCTAACATGTCAGTATTTCATCCATCTTGAATTAATTTTTGTATAAGGTGTAAGGAAGGGATCCAGTTTCAGCTTTCTACATATGGCTAGCCAGTTTTCCCAGCACCATTTATTAAATAGGGAATCTTTCCTCATTGCTTGTTTTTCTCAGGTTTGTCAAAGATCAGATAGTTGTAGTTATGTGGCATTATTTCTGAGGGCTCTGTTCGGTTCCATTGATCTATGTCTCCATTTTGGTACCAGTACCATGTTGTTTTGATTACTGTAGCCTTGTAGTATAGTTTGAAGTCAGGTAGCGTGATGCCTCCAGCTTTGTTCTTTTGGCTTAGGATTGACTTGGCGATGCAGGCTGTTTTTTGGTTCCATATGAACTTTAAAGTTGTTTTTTTCAATTCTGTGAAGAAAGTCATTGGTAGCTTGATGGGGATGGCACTGAATCTATAAATTACCTTGGGCAGTATGGCCATTTTCATGATATTGATTCTTCCAACCCATGAGCATGGAATGTTCTTCCATTTGTTTGTATCCTCTTTTATTTCATTGAGCAGTGGTTTGTTGTTCTCAATGAAGAGGTATTTCACGTCCCTTGTAAGTTGGATTCCTAGGTATTTTTCTCTCTTTGAAGCAATTGTGAATGGGAGTTCGCTCATGATTTGGCACTCTGTTTGTTGTTGGTGTATAAGAATGCTTGTGATGTTTGTAAATTGATTTTTTATCCTGAGACTGCTGAAGTTGCTCATCAGCTTAAGGAGATTTTGGGCTGAGACAATGGGGTTTTCTAGATATACAATCAAGTCATCTGCAAACAGGGACAATTTGACTTCCTCTTTTCCTAATTGAATACCCTTTGTTTCCTTCTCCTGCCTGATTGCCCTGGCCAGAACTTCCAACACTATGTGGAATAGGAGTGGTGAGAGAGGGCAACCCTGTCTTGTGCCAGTTTTCAAAGGGAATGCTTCCAGTTTTTGCCCATTCAGTATGATATTGGCTGTGGGTTTGTCATAGATAGCTCTTATTATTTTGAAATACATCCCATCAATACCTAATTTATTGAGAGTTTTTAGCATGAAGGGTTGTTGAATTTTGTCAAAGGCCTTTTCTGCATCTATTGAGATAATCATGTGGTTTTTGTCTTTGGCTCTGTTTATATGCTGGATTACATTTATTGATTTGCGTATATTGAA
Source organism: Homo sapiens (assembly GCF_000001405.40). Lineage (NCBI taxonomy): Eukaryota > Metazoa > Chordata > Mammalia > Primates > Hominidae > Homo > Homo sapiens. The sequence goes on from NC_000009.12 coordinate 63,477,438, forward strand.
CCAGCCTTGCATCCCAGGGATGAAACCCACTTGATCATGGTGGATAAGCTTTTTGATGTGCTGTTGGATTCGGTTTGCCAGTATTTTATTGAGGATTTTTGCATCAATGTTCATCAAGGATATTGGTCTAAAATTCTCTTTTTTGGTTGTGTCTCTGCCCGGCTTTGGTATCAGGATGATGCTGGCCTCATAAAATGAGTTAGGGAGGACTCCCTCTTTTTCTATTGATTGGAATAGTTTCAGAAGGAATGGTACCAGTTCCTCCTTGTACCTCTGGTAGAATTCGGCTGTGAATCCATCTGGTCCTGGACTCTTTTTGTTGGTAAGCTATTGATTATTGCCACAATTTCAGATCCTGTTATTGGTCTATTCAGAGATTCAACTTCTTCCTGGTTTAGCCTTGGGACAGTGTATGTGTTGAGGAATTTATCCATTTCTTCTAGATTTTCTAGTTTATTTGCGTAGAGGTGTTTGTAGTATTCTCTGATGGTAGATTGTATTTCTGTGGGATCAGTGCTGATAACCCCTTTATCATTTTTTATTGCGTCTATTTGATTCTTCTCTTATCTTCTTTATTAGTCTTGCTAGTGATCTATCAATTTTGTTGATCTTTTCAAAAAACCAGCTCCTGTATTTCCTTCAATTCTGCTCTGATTTTAGTTATTTCTTGCCTTCTGCTAGCTTTTGAATGTGTTTGCTCTTGCTTTTCTAGTTCCTTTAATTGTCATGTTAGGGTGTCAATTTTGGATCTTTCCTGCTTTCTCTTGTTGGCATTTAGTGCTATAAATTTCCCTCTAAACACTGCTTTGAATGTGTCCCAGAGATTCTGGTATGTTGTGTCTTTGTTCTCGTTGGTTTCAAAGAACATCTTTATTTCTGCCTTCATTTCGTTATGTACCCAGTAGTCATTCCGGAGCAGGTTGTTCGTTTTCCATGTAGTTGAGCGGTCTTGAGTGAGTTTGTTAATCCTGGATTCTAGTTTGATTGCACTGTGGTCTGAGAGACAGTTTGTTATGATTTCTTTTCTTTTACATTTGCTGAGTAGAGATTTACTTCCAAGTATGTGGTCAATTTTGGAATAGGTGTGTTGTGGTGCTGAGAAGAATGTATATTCTGTTGGATTTGGGGTGGAGAGTTCTGTAGATGTCTATTAGATCCGCTTAGTGCAGAGCTGAGTTCAATTCCTGTGTACCCTTGTTAACTTTCTGTTTCATTTATCTGTCTAATGTTGACAGTGGGTTGTTAAAATCTCTCATTATTATTGTGTGGGAGTCTAAGTCTCTTTGTAGGTCACTCAGGACTTGCTTTATGAATCTGGGGGCTCCTATATTGGGTGCATATATATTTAGGATAGTTAGCTCTTCTTGTTGAATTAGTCCCTTTACCATTATGTAGTGGCCTTCTTTGTCTCTTTAGATCTTTGTTGGTTTAAAGTGTGTTTTATCAGAGACTAGGATTGCAACCCCTGTCTTTTTTTGTTTTCCATTTGCTTAGTAGATCTTCTTCCATCCTTCTATTTTGAGCCTATGTGTGTCTCTGCACATGAGATGGGTTCCTGAATACAGCACATTGATAAGTCATGACTCTTTATCCAATTTGCCAGTCTGTGTCTTTTAATTGGAGCATTCAGTCCATTTACGCTTAAAGTTAATATTGTTATGTGTGAATTTGATCCTGTCATTATGATGCTAGCTGGTTATTTTGCTCGTTAGTTGATGCAGTTTCTTCCTAGTCTCGATGATCTTTACATTTTGGCATGATTTTGCAGAGGCTGATACCGGTTGTTCCTTTCCATGTTTAGTACTTCCTTCAGGAGCTCTTTTAGGGCAGGCCTGGTGGTAACAAAATCTCTCAGCATTTGCTTGTCTGTAAAGGATTTTATTTCTCCTTCACTTATGAAGCTTAGTTTGGCTGGATATGAAATTCTGGGCTGAAAATTCTTTTCTTTAAGAATGTTGAATATTGGCCCCCACTCTCTTCTGGCTTCTAGAGTTTCTGCCAAGAGATCTGCTGTTAGTCTGATGGTCTTCCCTTTGTGGGTAATCCGACCTTTCTCTCTGGCTGCCCTTAACATTTTTTCCTTCCTTTCAACTTTGGTGAATCTGACAATTATGTGTCTTGGAGTTGCTCTTCTCGAGGAGTATCTTTGTGGTGTTGTCTGTATTTCCTGAATCTGAATGTTGGCCTGCCTTGCTAGATTGGGGAAGTTCTCCTGGACAATATCCTGCAGAGTGTTTTCCAACTTGGTTCCATTCTCCCCATCACTTTCAGGTACACCCATCAGACGGAGAGTTGGTCTTTTCACATAGTCCCATATTTCTTGGAGGTTTGTTCATTTCATTTTATTATTTTTTCTCTAACTTCCCTTCTCACTTCATTTCATTCATTTCTTCTTCCATCACTTATACCCTTTCTTCCAGTTGATCACATTGGCTCCTGAGGCTTCCACATTCTTCATGTAGTTCTCGAGCCTTGGCTTTCAGCTCCATCAGCTCCTTTCAGTACTTCTCTTTATTGGTTATTCTAGATATACATTCGTCTAAATTTTTTTCAAAGTTTTTAACTTCTTTGCCTTTGGTTTGAATTTCCTCCTGTAGCTTGGAGCAGTTTGATCGTCTGAAGCCTTTTTCTCTCAACTCATCAAAGTCATTCTCTGCCCAGCTTTTTTCCATTGCTGGTGAGGAACTGTGTTCCTTTTTAGGAGGAGAGGTGCTCTACTTTTTAGAATTTCCAGGTTTTCTGCTCTGTTTTTTCCCCATCTTTGTGGTTGTATCTAGTTTTGGTCTTTGATGATGGTGATGTACAGATGGGTTTTAGGTGTGGATGTCCTTTCTCTTTGTAAGTTTTCCTTCTAACAGACAGGACCCTCAGCTGCAGGTCTGTTGGAGTTTGCTAGACGTCCACTGCAGACCCTGTTTGCCTGGGTATCAGCAGCAGTGGCTGCAGAACAGCAGATTTTCATGAACCGCAAATGTTGCTGTCTGATCATTCCTCTGGAAGTTTTGTCTCAGAGGAGTACCCAGCCGTGTGAGGTGTCATTCTGCCCGTACTGGGGATTGCCTCCCAGTTGGGCTGCTTGGGGGTCAGGGGTCAGGGACCCACTTGAGGAGGCAGTCTGCCCATTCTCAGGTCTCCAGCTGTGTGCTGGGAGAACCACTGCTCTCTTCAAAACTGTCAGACAGGGACATTTAAGTCTGCAGAGGTTACTGCTGTCTTTTTGTTTGTCTGTTCCCTGCCCCCAGAGGTGGAGCCTAAAGAGGCAGGCAGGCCTCCTTGAGCTGTGGTGGGCTCCACCCAGTTCGAGTTCCTGGCTGCTTTGTTTACTTATGCAAGCCTGGGCAATGGCAAGCGACCCTCTCCAAGCCTCTCTGCCACCTTGCAGTTTGATCTCAGACTGCTGTGCTAGCAATCAGCGAGACTCCATGGGCGTAGCACCCTCTGAGCCATGTGCGGGATATAATCTCCTGGTGCACCGTTTGTTAGGACCCTTGGAAAAGTGCAGTATTAGGGTGGGAGTGACCCGATTTTCCAGGTGCCGTCTCTCACCCCTTTCTTTGACTAGGAAAGGGAACTCCCTGACCTCTTGTGCTTCCCGAGTGAGGCAATGCCTCACCCTGGTTCAGCTCATGCACTGTGCACTGCACCCACTGTCCTGCATCCTCTGTCTGGCACTCCCTAGTGAGATGAACCTGGTACCTGAGATGGAAATGCAGAAATCACCCATCTTCTGCGTTGCTGATGCTTGGAGCTGTAGACCGGAGCTGTTCCTATTTGGTCATCTTGGCTACCCTTGGTAGTTTCTTTTCCCTCTGCTTCTGGTTCTGAGAGTTTGTCACTAACATAGGATTCCAGAACACTGCTGCAGGGTCCTAAGGGATTGTCCCTCACATGGGATTCGAAAACAGTCCTGCTGGGTTCAGAGTGTTATCCCTCACATATGATTCCAGAACACTGCTACGAGGTTCTGAATGTTTGTCCCTCACAAAGGATTCCAGAACACTGCTGCTGGGTTCTGAGTGTTTGTCCCTCACATAGGATTCCAGAACACTGCTGCTGGGCTCTGAGTGTTTGTCCCTCACATAGGATTCTAGAACACTGCTGCAGCTTTCTTAGTGTTTGTCTCTCACATAGGATTCCAGAACACTGCTATGAGGATCTGAATGTTTGTCCCTCACAAAGGTTTCCAGAATGCTGCTGCTGGGTTCTGAGTGTTTGTCCCTCACATAGGATTCCAGAACTCTGTTGCTGGGTTCTGTTTGTTTGTCCCTCACAAAGGAATCCAGAGCACTGCTGCAGGTTTCTGAGTGTTTGACCCTCACATAGGATTCCAGAACACTGCTGTGGCTTTCCGAGTGTTTGTCCCTCACATAGGATTCCAGAACAGTGCTGCTGGGTTCTAAGTGTTTGTCCCTCACATAGGATTCCAGAACACTGCTGCTGCATTCTGAGTGTTTGTCCCTCACATAGGATTCCAGAACACTGCTATGATTGTCTGAATGTTTGTCCCTCACAAATTATTCCAGAGTACTGCTGCTGGGTTCTGAGTGTTTGTCCCTCACATAGGATTCCAGAACAGTGCTGCTGGGTTATGAGCGTTTGTCCCTCACATAGGATTCCAGAACACTGATACTAAGGTCTGAATGTTTGTCCCTCAGATAAGATTACAGAACACATCTACGAGGGTCTGTATGATTGTCCCTCACATAGGATTCCAGAACACAGTGGCTGGGTTCTGAGTGTTTGTCCCTCATATAGAATTTCAGAACACTGCTACAAATTTCTGAACGTTTGTCGCTCACAGAGGATTCCAGAACACTGCAGCTGGGTTGTGTTTGCCCCCCACATAGGATTCCAGAATACTGCTGCTGGGTTCTGAGTGTTTGTCCCTCACGTAGGATTCCAGAACACTGCTATGAGGGTCTGAATATTTTTGCCTCTCAAAGGATTCCAGAACACTGCTGCTCAGTTGTGTTTGTTTGTCCCTCACAAGGGACTCCAGTGCACTGCTGCAGGTTTCTGAGAGTTTTTCCCTCACATAGGATTCCAGAACACTTCTACGAGGGTCTGAATGTTTGTATCTCACAGTGGAATCTACAAAACTGCTGCAGGGTTCTGAGTGTTTCTCACTCATATAGGATTACAGAACACTGCTGCTGGGTTCTGAGAGTTTATCCCTCACATGGGATTCCAGAACAAAGCTGCTGGCTTCTGAGTGTTTGTCCCTCACATAGGATTGCAGAACACTGCTACGAGGGTCGGAATGCTTGTCCATCACAAAGGACTCCGGAATATTGCTCCTGGGTTCTGAGTGTTTGTCCATCACATAGGATTCCAGAACACTGCTTCAAGAGTCTGAATGTTTTTCCCTCTCAAAGGATTCTAGAACACTGCTGCTGGGTTCTAAGTGTTTGTCCCTCACATAGGATTCCAGAACACTGCTGTGAGGTTCTGAAACTTTGTCCGTCACAAAGGATTCCAGAACACAGCTGCTGTGTTCTGAGTGTTTGTCCTTCACATAGGATTCCAGAACTCTGCTGCTGGGTTCTGAGTGTTTGTCCCACACATAGCATTCCAGAACAATCCTGCTGGGTTCTGAGTGTTTTCCCCTCACATAGGGTTCCAGAGCACTGCTGCTGAGTTCTGAGTGTTTGTCCCATATATAGAATTCCAGAACAATGCTACGACGGTCTGAATGTTTTTCCCTCACATAGGATTCCAGAACACTGCTACAATGGTCTGAATGTTTGTCTGTCACAAAGGATTCATAACACTGCTATGGGTTCTGACTGTCCCTCACAATGGATTCCAGAAAACTGCTTTGAGAGTCTCAATGTTTGTCCCTCACAAAGTATTCCAGAGCACTGCTGCAGGGTTCTGTGTGTTTGTCCCTCACATGGGATTTGAAAACACTCCTGCTGGGTTCAGAGTGTTTTCCCTCACATAAAATTCCAGAACACTGCTACAAGGTTCTGAATGTTTGTCCCTCACAAAGGATTCCAGAACACTGCTGCTGGGTTCTTAGTGTTTGACCCTCACATAGGATTCCAGAGCACTGCTGCTCGGTTCTGAGTGTTTGTCCCTCACATAGCATTCCAGAACACAGGTACGAAGTTCTGAATGTTTGTCACTCAAATAGGATTCCAGAACAATGCTGCTGGGTTCTGAATGTTTGCCACTCACACGGGATTCCAGAACACTGCTGCTGGGTTCTAAGTGTTTCTCCCTCACATAAGATTCCAGAAAACTGCTTCTGGGTTCTGATTGTTTGTCCCTCACATAGGATTCCAGAACACTGCTTCGAGGGTCTGAATGTTTTTCCCTCACAAAGGACTCCAGAACACTTTTGCTGGGTTCTGAGTGTTTGCCCCTCATATAGAATTCCAGAACAATGCTATGAGTATCTGAATGTTTTTCCCTCACATAGGATTCCAGAACATTGCTAAGAGTGTCTGAATGTTTTTCCCTCACAGAGTATTCCAGAACACTGCTGCTGGATCTGAGTGTTTGTCCCTCACATAGGATTCCAGAACACTGCTGCTGGGTTCTGAGTGTTTGTCCCTCACCTTGGATTCCAGAAAACGGCTACGACGGTCTGAATTTTTGTCCATCACAAAGGATTTTAGAAGACTGTTGCTGGATCTGAGTGTTTGTCCCTCACACAGGATTCCAGAACACTGCTTCGATGGTCTGAATGTTTGTCCCTCACAAAGGATTCTAGAACACTGCTGCTGGTTTCTTAGTGTTTGTCACTCACATAGGATTCCAGAACACTGCTGATGGGTTCTGAGTGTTTGTCCCTCACATGGGATTCCAGTACATAACTGCTAGATTCAAAGTGTTTGTCCCTCACATACGATTCCAGAACACTGCTTCTGAGTTCTGAGTGTTTGTCTGTCAAATAGGATTCCAGTACACGGCTTCTGGGCTCTGTTTGTTTGTCCATCACAAAGGATTCCAGAACACTGCTTCTGAGTTCTGAGTGTTTGTCTGTCAAATAGGATTCCAGTACACGGCTGCTGGGCTCTGTTTGTTTGTCCATCACAAAGGATTCCAGAACACTGCTATAGGTTTCTGAGTGTTTGTCCCTCACATAGGATTCCAGGACAATTCTACGAGGCTCCGAATGTTTGTCCTTCAGATAGGATTTCAGAACACAGTGGCTGGGTTCTGAGTGTTTGTCCCTCACATAGGGTGTCAGAACACTGCTGCTGGGATCTGAGTGTTTGTCTTTCACAGAGGATTCCAGAACACTGCTGCTTTGTTCTGAGTGTTTGTCCCTCACATAGAATTCCAGAACACTGCCACTCGGTACTGAGGGTTTGTCCCTTACATAGAATTCTAGAACACTGCAGCTCATTTCTGAGTGTTTGTCCCTCACTTAGGATTCCAGAACAATGCTACGATTGTCTGAATGTTTGTTCCTTACCAAGTATTCCACAACACTGCTGCTGGGTTCTGAGTGTTTGGCACTCACATTGGTTTCCAGAACACTGCTACGAGGGTCTGAATGTCCCGCACATAGGATTCCAGAACACTGCTAAGAGGGTCTGAATGTTTTTCCCTCAGAAAGGATTCCAGAACCCTGCTACTGGATTCTGTTTGTTTGTCCCTTACAAAGGATTTCAGAGCACTGCTCCTGGTTGCTGACTGTTTGTCCCTCACATAGGATTCCAGAACACTTCTGCAAGTGTCTGAATGTTTGTCCCTCAGATAGGATTCCAGAAGACAGTGGATGGGTTCTGGGTATTTGTCCATCACATAGGATTCCAGAACACTGCTGCTGGGTTCTGAGTGTTTGTCCCTCACATAAGGTTTCAGAACACTGCTGTTGTGTTCTGAGTGTTTGTCCCTCACAGAGGATTCCAGAACACTGCTCCTGGGTTCTGAGTTTTTGTCCCTCATATAGGATTCTGGAACACTGCTACGAGGGTCTGAATGTTTATCCCTTACAAAGGACTACAGAACAGTTCTGGAATCCTATGTGAGGGACAAACACTCAGAACCCAGCAGTGTTCTGGAATCCTATGTGAGGTCAGTGTGGGGGGATGGGGGAGGGAGAGCATTAGGAGATATACCTAATGCTAAATGACAAATTAATGGGTGCAGCACACCAACATGGCACATGTATACATATGTAACAAACCTGCACATTTTGCACATGTACCCTAAAACTTAAAGTATAATAATAAATTAAAAAAAATAAAAAATAAAAAAAGAATTAACATAGTTTTATGTAGTCTTCAGTAGACAACATTCATCCATGTAAATTAAACAGTATTTTCTACAATCATGTGAATATAAGGCCACAATATTTACTATGAATAAATCCCTTAAATAGTAATTTTAATATCGTTATTTATTCTTTTGAAATATAAAGTATTATAACTGAGTGAAGGTTACAGATAATTTTAAAAATGTATGTCATTACTAGTATATTAAGATTATTTATACTTAGATATTTATATCTAATATCCAAAGAAAATTTACTAATTGTTACAGTAGATATTAATCTGACATGCTTATTAATTCATCCCAAAAATATAATAATAGGTCAGCTGGGCATGGTGGCTCACACCTATAATCACAGCACTTTGGGAGGCCAAGGCAGGCGGATCACCTGAGGTCAGGAGTTTGAGACCACCCTGACCAACATGGAGAAACCCCGTCTCTACTAAAAAAAAATGCACAATTAGCAGGGGATGGTGGTGCATGCTTGTAATCCTAGCTAATCAGGAGACTGAAGCAGGAGAATCACTTGAACCCGGGAGGTGGAGGCTGCAGTGAGCTGAGATTGCAACATTGCACTCCAGCCTGGGCAACAAGATCAAAACTCTGTCTCAAAAAACAAAACAACAAAAAAAGATAGAGTAGTAGGTTAGAAAAATTTTACATTCTATCTTTTTGTTGTTGTTGTTTTTGAGATGGAGTCTGGCTCTGTCACCCAGGCTAGAGTGCAGTGGCGTGATCTCAGCTCACTGCAACCTCTACCTCCTGGGTTCAAGCGATTCTCTTGTCTCAACCCCTAAGTAGCTGGGATTACAGTTGTCTGCCACCACGCCTGGCTAGTTTTTGTATTTTAGTAGAGATGGGGTTTCACCCTGTTGGCCAGGCTGGTCTTCAACTCTCGACCTAGGTGATCCACCTGCCTCAGCCTCCTAAAGTGCTGGGATTACAGGTGTGAGCCACCGCGTCCTGCCTTACAGTCTATTCTTATGTTTTACTAAATTAGGAATGCCACTCTTACAGAACAAATCAATGCAAGTGACGTGACTACCCAAAAATCATGAATCATAATAGTCTTCAGTTAGATATGTTGCAATCTCAGATATAGTTCTACTATGTAAAAAGAGTCAAATTCCAATTCTTTATCAAAAAGTGCTGGTGAAGGTTGCCTGATGTGTTCCAGTGTAGATCCTCAATCCAATGGCCAGCAGATGAGAGAGCAGCAGATATGGAAGAAAAATCTTAAGAAATTCTGCTGAGAATATGCCCCCTTTCATCATAACACTGTGTTTCTTGTGTTGAGAGCGGCTGTGCATTTTGGGTGTTTAGAGAGAAACTGTCTCAGGGGAGTGAGTATTTTCTGGTCGACTTGGCTAATATTATATGTAATCTGAATTTTTCTTTCAGATGCTTTTAACCTCTTAATACAATTTTATTCAGACTGAGGGCTGTTTTTCTCTTCAATGCTTTCGGTGTCTGTCTTCAGAAGGGACACCCAAAAGTGTCTCATGGTGTTTCTGAGTGAGTTGGGCTGTCACAATGAGAACTCTTTTGCACTCTATCCAGACCCATGCTGGGAATCCAGCAGTATTTTTTTGTCACCATCATAAATAGAAACGTAGCTGAAACATTGCTCCCATTTCCATTATTGCAAAAGTGCAATCCTACCCAGGAGTCCTGCAGGTTCTCCTCCTGCAGTTCAGGGACCCTGCTCCATAATGTGACACTGGAGTGCAGCTGTGGTGGTTGGAGTCCATGTGGAATGTGGGCTGCCAGCTGTGTGCTGTGAGCTGTGCCTCAATGGTAGATGGAAGGGGAAGAGATGGGACACAGGCCACCAGGACAGGGCAAGCAGGATTGCTGCAGCCCATGGCCTAGGGAGTAGGGACCCTTTGCTTTGAAATGTAAATAGCCAAAAGAATAGTATCCTATCTCACAGTGTCTGTAAAAGAACCAGAGCCTACTTTCAGCAGGCACCTGGCTGTAAGTTGCAAAACTACCTCCTATCGTGAAGATGTCAGAAGTTTATTTTTCCTTTCAATATAACTAATTAACATACACAGATGGCCTCCCCAATTACCAGGTGAACTTAGGATAAACTGTGTATGACAAATGATGCCATGAAATCTTCCACTTGAGGACTAATTATGGAGACCTTTCTGTCTTTGCAATCTCTTGAGCAGATTGTCTGTGATTCATGTCACATAACATTCTGGTTTTATTGTGCAATAAAACACTTTTCTTTCTGTTCTGTTATTGTGGGGTTTTTCTAGGATTGGAGATAATTTTCCTTTTAATTATATTTCTCAAACACTGTTCACAATTACCAGACATTGTATATATGTATAAATTGCCCACCAAGCTTCACTTTAGAGAAAGCTTTCCCCCTCAGGCTTCCAGTCAACCCAGTCAGTTGTGCTTCAAAGTGCACACTGCCCCCAGAGTATGCAGGCAGTCTTGTGTCTCTGCCTGTTTCACATCTATAGTCCTCTACAACCACTCATAGAGAGGTTAAGCCTTTCTACAGTGGTTGACAAAATTCACAGGACAGTAATCAACCATTTCACCTCTTTCAGTGACCATAGTGTCTTGAGACCTGAAACTGAGTTGGAGACTATTAGGCCCAGAAGAACAATTAGGGTGACATGTGTGCATTGAGTAAACATGAGTATCTCAAAGTTCCTCTTTCTCCTCCTCCCAAAATTCCCATGAATGTGCAGTTAACACCTGCCATTTCTCCATCCATCCAGGACCTAAATCTACAGTACCAAATTCTGAATCTCGGTCTTGAGATTAGAGGAAAAAGAATAACTTTGATCTGAGGAGTGCAAGTCCTTTTAGTTTTATCAGGCCTGGAGGGACACAAAAATGAGAACATAATTATGTTCTACTGCCTCCTTTGAGCTACGTGTTTACCTCTTGAAACTGTTTGCTATTCCTACAAGTAGATATAAATTAACCTAATAATGCCACACTAGATGTTACAAGCAATACCTCACAGCTTAAAAATATATAGCCAATTAGTCATCAATGTTATTTCTGTAGATCAAGAAGAATTTCTGACAAACAACTTTGTTTCAGTCCACTCCCTGTCCCTCTCTTTTGCCTTTGTAAATCCACTTGTAACTGCTGCTAATTAAAGTGTACATTCAAGGCAACTTGAATCTATGCTCCCAGAGTTCAATCCTCAGGCTTGGCCCAAATAAACTCTCTAGTTAAATGAGTGTTGCCTTAGCCTTTTCTTTTTAGGCTGACATATCATGTGCTAGAGCAGACTTTATGATGGAAACTTTTTTTTTTTTACTCTCCTTGCTGTAACACCAAAGAATGAAGAGTCAGGTTGATCTTACCTGTAATCTGTACATAAGAGCTGAGCTCTCCCTGGGATTCACAGGAGAGAGCCAGATTTTGGATTGAGAATGTACAGAAAACCCATAGGAGACATTTTCTGATCTGTGAGATGTCAGCATAGAAATCTTAAAGCCCTTCTTTCAGAGTGTATCCCTTTGAGCTTTCCAGATCTTTTCCAGTGACCTGCTATGGTTATGTGAGAGGCTGCTGGTGTAAATAGAATCTGGTTGCACAATCTGTAAGTGTAAACATGCATGTCAGCAGGGAGAGATCAAAGCCACAAAATACCCAGAGCAATGACATAAGTTTACCTATTTGTAAAATGTGATACTGGAGTAGAGTATTCTTGTCCTTTCTCTTACCTAAGACCTAGCTAATCAGAACAGGTGATATCACATGTAGATCCAGGTTCTGGAGCTCTACCAGGGCAGTTCCATTTTCTATTTAGAATCAGCTTGAGTCTTTCCTACCTGGATCAACATATGGTCATCAGTCTATGGTCACTAGGAATCCTCTCACAATCACCCGGGAATCTTTAAGACATTTCAGGATGTCCTGTACAGACTTGGGTCAGACTGGCAGGAGTGCCTAATTCTGCTTCCATGTTAGAGGAAGGGAAATGAGTCATTCAGTGTCTGTTCCTTCTTTTGTAGAAAGAATCTCCTTCGTTGGTACCTGGACAAGAGTTTCTCCAGTTTCCTTGGCAAAAAATTCAGGAGTTCTGGAGACTTGGACTGATAAACAAATTGCCTCCATTTCATATGGCCTTTAGAAAAATAGATGAAGCAGTCAGGGTCCCTGTCATTCAAAAACTTTCAGTCTAGAGCAACTGGATAAATGGTTTAATTAAGCATCATATAGTCAATACAATAAAGTGGGAGTGTTAAGGGGACTTGGGCGATGACTCTGATGTTGTTGTGACTTCTGATGTCACCACCTGAAGAGCTATTCTCAAACAGGAGAGTTATTTGTATTTCTACTGCTTTTACCTTGCTAAGAATACATATTTTCTAATAAAATTATCCTAGGAAGCCCTAAAAGTTTTGGTTAAATTGCTTGTTATTATATGTTATAAAATAGATTAGTGGCTAAATGGATTAAAATTATACAAACTCTTAAGTTTCTCTTGGACAGGCTTAGGAAAGACAGAACAAGAAGTACTCCAGCAGCATAGAGATCATAATTCAACATTGGACCGTTTCTCCACCCCAGCTCTGTCCAGATTCACCCTTTTCTGAGGCTCATTCAGGTCTGGTCCCACCCTGGAGTTTCTCCTCACAGAACTCATAAGAGGAGACCAGAGATTTGGGAGGTGGCTTCTGCTGCCTCTCCAGAGCTTATGCTCACAATATTCTGAAACCCAAAAGCAGATAAATTAGAGCAATAAGCTATATATTTTGAGGTCTTAACTTCTTTCTTTTTAATTAAAACCAGTGCTTGTAGAGACATTCCATCCCAGTAGTTACTCCACAAGTCACAAGAAAGTAAAAGAAACACAATAAAAAATCCCTTTAAACTGCACTTAACCCTTTCCTTTCTGTATCCCTCCCATCTGTCTATATTTATCACTTATGCTATACATTTTTTAAAAAAATCAGTGAGAGGCCGGGCTATGTGGCTCATGCCTGTAATACTAGCATTTTGGGAGGCCAAGGTGTGCGGATCACTTGAGGTCGGGAGTTCGAGACCAGCGTGATCAACATGGAGAAACCCTGTCTCTACTAAAAATACAAACTTAGCTCAGTGTCGTGGTGCATGCCTGTAATCCCAACTACTCGGGAGGCTGAGGCAGGATAATCCTTTGAACCCAGGAGGCGGATGTTGTGGTGAGCTGAGATCGTGCCATTGCACTTCCAGCCTGGGCAACAAGAGTGAAACTCCGTCCCGAAAAAAAAAAAAAATCAATAAGAGATAAACAGGGAAGAAAACAATGCTGGCCCCTTCATCTAAATTCTGAGAATTATTTAACACTTAGTACCCAACTCTCAAGTTGTTATGAAGATTAAATCACATAATGTGATGTTCCCGGCACAGTGCTCTGTAACATACTCCGGAGCACATAGTACCTGCTTAATAAGCATTGCATAAGTATATGTGTACATGTTGTTTTTCAGTGCAGACTTACTCAGACGTTGTTGCCTTCTCCTGTCTCTGAAGTTAAAGAGCTAGCAAAGAATGTGGTTTTTCAGGATAGAGATCGATTTTTTATTTGATCAGAAGTATTTGTGTTGTGATGAGTGATGAGTGTAAGAGTTTGTTCCATGCCTGCTTTCTCTAGCTAAATGCTACTAATGATGGGTCTGGGGAAGCTACATCAGCATTGACAGGAGATGTGTTTAAAATGCACTTTCATGGATGCTTTTAAAACCTGCAGAATCACATTACATAGTGTAGGGCCAGGGTTACCAAATGATTTATATGCACACTGAAGTTTGAGAGGCAATGTTTAGCTAAGTGGTTCTTGGCCCAGGCTTCTAATTAAGATTCCATGGCCAGGTTGCAGAAATCTTTTCACTTGTGCCCTTCCCGCAGGCTCTGTATATTGGTGTGGGTGGGAGCATCCTTGTTGATATAATTAAGTGCCTCATGTGACTCCAGGTTGAGGCCAGGGTCAAACATGAGGAATTCAAAATACATTCATGAGAGTTGAGTTCAAACTTTATTCCAAAGGGAGGTCCATTCCAATGGTTGGATTTGGTAGGGACAAGTTAGTGTGGCCCATATCCCCATTGCTGTAGCAGAAATTGTGGCATCTGTGGCAGGAAAAGAGAAAGATAAATTTTGATCTTTGTGGAGGAGCTCACTGTCCTTGAATCTCACCTGTTATAAAGAACATAAATGAGTGGACATTTTCTGCATGCCTGGATCTTTCTACCTGTGTTTGTGGTGGTAGCAGGTGAAGAGATTGTGCTGATTCCTTTAAAGGCATATTCCCAAGATGCAGGTGTGACTTGTCCAGAGAATATCACCTGAGAATAAATCCTAGAGAAGGACGATGAAGAGAAAAATGGCTTTTTCTCAGGTGACTGTGTCTCAGACCAGGAACAGTGTTCACTCTGCCTCCTGGAATGCCATATGTTTAGAACTTACAAACCTGTACTTCTTGACTTTATGCTGTTTCTCCCTATAAGTTTGTTTAAACACTTTTTCTTCTCATGATAGTCAAACAACTCTGAAAAAATATTATTTTCTATACACTAGAGTCTTCTCGACATTCTCTTCATCTTGGCTTCTTCTCTGCTATGCAGAATTC